>NT_187566.1:0-141812 GCF_000001405.40 Homo sapiens | reverse complement strand
GAATTCCTTCCACAATGTAAGATGATTTATCTACTGCTCCCCATAAATTGTGGATTTAACCATCAAAAATCAATCAAACTTTCAACTTACTTATAAATATGGTAATTGAATTTTACCTCATAATCTAGTTAAATCACAGATTACCAATTTCTGAAGAAATATAATACCAGAAAAAAACTTCATATTAAAACTATTTCAGATAAAACAATTTGAGCTTGACAATTGAGAAGACACTTAAAATCTTGGCAGAGCATTATCAGTGACACTGTCACTATGGTATGCATATAAAGAAATTCAGTTTTAGAAACATAGAATACCAGATATACTTTAGGATATGGAGTATATTATTTTAAAAGGAAATAATACACATTTGTCAAACATACATATCTTAAAAATGTGTTCTAAAAGTACTTTCTTTAAGGATGAAATTCAAAAGGAAGCAGTAAAAGCAGAGATAACAGAAGATAGCAAAATAAAGGGGAATTGCACTAACAAAAAGACAGGTACTAACTTTTCTACAGATATCCCTAAAATTCCCAGAATACTGAAAACTAGTATATAAAGCATATCTCCATATTTCCCTCCATATCTCCCCATATGACATTATATTAGTTGTCTGCAATATATTATTATTAAAATGTCAATTTCTCCAAGCTGCTGGCTTGTAAACTACTTCTGATTCAAATGTGAAACTCTCAAAACACGGTTGTATTGAGGAGGGGTATATGTGCATCTGACAGTAGCTTCTAGTTGTTGGTACCAGGTTTTTCTTTTAGAGTGACTGAAAGCATTCTTTCTTTCAGGAAATACAAATGAAGTATTTCCACAAGAAGCAGCTAAGAAAGACAAGATCTTTCTTCACACCTGATCCTTAGGTTTTGACAGTCCTGGAAAATGTTGACACATGTACTCATTAGTCTAAATAACATTCTCTGACCCTGTGTATGTAGCTGCAAAGAAGTTGGTAACTTTTGGCATCTTGGTAGATTCTTGACCACCAGAAGTATCAATCATATTAATAGTACACCTAAGAACTCTAAATTTTTTTTAAAAAAGGGTACCACCAAAGAGCTTTTAAAAGCTAAATCCAATTTACTTATTGCTGTTAGTATTGATACTTCATGCTTGAAATACTCATCTTTCCAAAAATGTTTGCAACATCACTCCCTCTGACTTTGCTCCTACTTTTCTCTTGCCACTGCTCAGTCTCTTTTACCAACTCTTTTTCCTCTGAAAAATGTTAATATTCCCTGGGTTTTGTCAAGGGCTTTCTTCTACTTCTTCTACATATTCTGCATTATGGACAAGCTCATTAAGATCTATGGCTTTGTCTAATAATTATAATAAAATCATTCTAAGTCTGCAACTTCAACCATAGAGTCTAGCTCCAGCTCTAAATGCCTATTATCCAATTACCAGCTGAAAATATCCTACATGAATATTTCTTTGACCTCAACATGTATAGAAATAAGTTAATCTATCACATTGTACCAATTATTATTCATATTTCTTAAGTTAAAAAAATTCAGCAAAAAAATGAAAATAGAATAATGCCAAGAAAAAATCCCACATGTTTAAATGTATAATCTTAGCTTCTAACTTATTTATTTTACCCTGGATGGGTCAAAATTTTATAATAGATTGATACTAATGCACAAACTGGTGACACAAAACAAACAAACTATAGCATGAACTACTGCAAAACTTCCTTTGTTTCTCAACCTCTTTACATGGCTACCCTCCATATGAAGAGTCAGAAAACTACAGGCCAAAGGTCAAATGCAGCCTTCAATATAGCCTTGTATATGAAGTTTTACTGGAGTACAGTTATGCTTATTTGCTTACTACACTTTATGATTTTTTTCACACTGCAATGGCAGAATTGAATAGATATGACAGAGACCAAAAGGTCTAAAATGTTTCCTATTGAGCCCTATATGGGTAAAGCTTGCCAATCCCTACTTTATACAATGCCAAGAATGCCTTAATACTCAAACCTAATCTTGTGACTCCCCTGCTTAACATTTTATTAGATTATTCTTAGCTAATTAAAGTGACTACATTTGCTTTCATATTGACTGGTTTAGGAATTAGCATATTGTGCACTAAATTGTTACAGGAAGATCACCGCAAGCTTCTGACTTTACTCCCTATTTAAAAGAAACATGAAGAAAAGCAGACTTTCCAGCCTTCACATATTGTCTTGAGAGAACATGATGACTGGAGTCATTGCTAATTAGCCAACCATGGACAAAACACTGCCAATAGCACAGCTGAAAGAGGAAAAGTAAGTGCTATGCTATGATATCCTTGAACCACCAAAATAACTTTGGTTCCCATGGTTTTAGCCACTGTTATTATAGTTGGGTCAACTAGTATTCACAGCCAGAAGTATTCAGAGAATTTTTCCCTGGCCCACAGAATAAGGTCTACTCATTTATATACTCTTAAAAGGCTTTCTGAAGTTTGCCTTATGTAGATATTCATTCCGCACCACTCCCATGCCACATTATTTCCACTAGCAAAGTGTAACTGCTCATAAACACTACAAAGTTGAATCAAGCATACAACACTTTGCACTTGCTCTTCCTTCTGTCAAATGTGAAATCATCTCAGACGTTTATTCTGCTTAACATGCAAACTTACCAGATGTTTCTTCTGCCAAACAGTCAATCTTGTCCGATGTTCCCATGACATTGGGTACCTAGTCAGATATGAGCAGGACAGAAAAGCCCCCCTCCCACCTTCACCAGCAATATAAGAAAACCATGAAGTGAAGATGAGGTGGTTATTAAACTACTTTTTTAAAATAATAATTAGTTGCAGCCAGCCCAGGGAAAGGCAGTTTTCCAATAAATAGAAACACCTAAAATTGGTGATCAGCAGCTTCATAATAATATCTCAGGATTCGAGCTGGTGGGCTTAGATGTGTGCAGTAAGAGGCAAAACGGTGATTTTAATTGATTTGTGACCTGTCTCTGAGAACACCTTACATTTTGAAAAAACAACACCCTATCGCTTCTCAGCCTTTTGGCTAAGATCAAGTAAAAAAACAACACCTTAAGTGAGCAGGCATACAACTCCAAAAAACACACTGCAAATGCATTCTCCCAAGTGCTGGCAGGCCACTGCATGTATGGACAGCACACCGCAAGGGAAGAATCAGGGGAGAAATAATGCAGCCTGAGAAGGCTACCAATGTATAAAACCCCAAGTCAAAGGTCAACCATGGACTTGATCTCTCAAGCCACCCACTTTGCCTTCTTCCATGTGTACTTTATTTTCTTTTGTTTTGCTCTAATGCTTTTTAAGAAACTTTCACTCCTGCTCTAAAACTTGCCTTTGTCTCTCACTCTGCCATATGTCTCTCAGTTGAATTCTTTCTTCTGGGGAGGCAAGACTTCAGTTTGCTGCTGACACATGCAAATCTGCCACCGCTAACCTTTTTACTACCAAACATTGAACCTTGTCAGATGTTTCCCCTGCCAAATATTTAATCTTTTCAGATGTTTCTTTTGCAGGCCATGCACTCATCCTAGGTCATCCTTATGCAGACAGTGCAATTTTCAGATACTCCCTCTGCCTACCATGCCATCTCCCTTGGGGTTCCTGCTGACCATGAAATCCTCTTAGATGTCTCTTCTGCCAAATATGACATCTTAGATGTTTCTTCTGCCAAAAGTTCAATTATGTCAGATGTTCTTCTGCCAAGCCTTCAATCTTGTCAGATGTTCTTGTTACGGTAGGTAGCTAGTCAGGCATGAGCAGGGCAAGAAAGGGTGTCCCACCACCAGGAGTGTCAAGCAACTAAGAGATGATGGTCAGGCAGTTTTTAAGCTGCCTCTCCAAAATAACAATTGGTCACACTCAATGCCAAGGAAATGCAGTCTCCCAATACACAGAAACACTGGAAGCTGTTGACCAGCAGCTTCCCCATAAGATCTTAGGAGTTAGTTGAGTGGGTTCACACATGTGCCCTAAAAGGAGAACTGCCAGAGTTTAACTGCTCTCTGACTTTTCTCTGGGAACATTCTACCAGTACAAGAATGTTTCAAGTGAGCAGGCATACAATCCAGTAAACACGCTGTACATGTGGCCCCTCCCAAGTGCTGACAATCCACTGTGCATAGGGACAGCCTGTCCCAGTGGAAGAATCAGGGGAAAAATAACACAAACCTAGGAGCCTGGCAATGTATAAGACCCCATCAAAGGTCAAACCATGCAATTGATCTCTCAAGTTGCCTGTGTTGCCCTCTTCCAAGTGTATTTTACTTCCTTTCATTCCTGCTCCGAAAATTTTAAGAAATTTTACTCCTGCTCTTAACTTCGCCTCAGTCTCTCACTCTGCCTTACACCCCGCCGTTGAATTCTTTCTTCTGAGGAGGCAAGAATTGAAGTTGCTACAGAACTTTACAGATTCACTGCTACTAACAATGCTGTGTTGTTTTGACTCAAGTACAGTCCCCTATGGTGAGACACTTCTACACCTCATCTTCTTCGGACAAAGGAATTCAGCTCATATACTTGGGTTTTGTCTCTCCTTTCAATCTCCTGCTTTCTAAACCACCCCTAGAACAATTCCACTGGCCACAAGTGGCTCTGCTCCTCCCGGCCAATCTCAGCTCACGCTGATAAGTGGCTTACAGGAGTGGGAAGGAACTCGGAGTCTGTACCACGTAGAACCAAGGCACTAATGGCCCTCCTGGACAGGATGCTCATGAAAGCTGTGAAGCTAAAGCCTAAGACTGTGCAATGTCTGGGGCTTCCTCTCAGCTTTTACAACTAAAATCAGCTCTTTCCAAAAAGTCCACACCACCTATTCCCTCCTTTCTCTGTGTGTATTCTGCAATGGCCTTGTCACCCACCATACCTTTTCCCACGGAGGCCAGTCTGCCTTTTCTCTGGTTTCACTTTGCATACCATGTGACTTCTCTGCCTGAAATACACATGCTCCTGGTCACTCGCATGCCCGTGACTCTTGCTGTGTTGGCTCGAAAGCAGAGACATGAGCTCTGCTCATGAGATATTCCCTTGTGAATATTCCCTGAGATTTATATTTGTTTTCCCCAGCTCAGATGATGTTCAAGCCTTTCCCTATCTGCTGGCACATTGCTGGGAAAGACGTTAACTGGAACCCCGGGGCTCTGCCAGTTTCTTATGACTTACCACATGCTTTTCCTTGCTGTTATGCTCACGGCCCAGTTCTTCAGTGGCTTTTGAAGCCATTTGTTCACCTGCATACAGCCTCATTCTGTGGCCTTTTAAGAACCCTACCTACTTGCTTTTTTTGGAAATAGTACCCCTATGGGAGGAGGGAAATTCTTCCTCTACCCTTTCGGAGTTTTTACCCTAAGGCCCAAATCCTCTGGAGGTTACTACCTTACGTCAAGAGGGCAAATACATATAGCCCTCTCAAATTCAAGGGTGGCTGTTTTGGGGAGCACAGGGAGGCTTTCCATGAGTATTCCTCACTTGCTTCCTCCCACTTGCTCCTGTAGCCTCCATTTCTCTAATCACTTCTATGCCCTTCTCGATATGCATCGAGGTCTTCAAGGTCAAATTCAAGTGGAGTAAAGTCAAGCCCCCTTGCAGCAGTTAGCTGAAAAACAGGCTTCTCATCTGGTTAAAGAAGATGAGAAATGGGAATTTGAGTAAAGAGATCATCATTTTCCTGCTAGAATGCTCTGAGTGAGGGTCACTCTAAGGTCACGGAGACATGGATAGAGGCCAGGCCAAGATTGAGGGCATTGGTCCCAGGCTAGAAGATGAAGGCAAGGTTAGTGGTACACAGTAAAACTGGTTCATTCTGGAACCCCAGGAATAAACAGGGAGTCCTCTGTTCACTTCATATGTTTTATGTTCTCAAGGGGGTAATTGTGATGAGATGGGACCAAGGTTAGGGACACACAGTAAGAACGATTTGCTCCAGAATACTAAGGATGAATGGGGGATGCCCTATTGAGGATCATAGGAAATTTAAGAAAGTTCAAGCATCTTGTAGATAGTCTGTGTGAGTCATGAGAAAGCTTTGTGAAAGGAACCTTAGGAAAGAAATACAACTTTAAATGTTGTTATGTCTATCAAATGCTTCAGGAAAGGAAGCTTTACTGGAGCACAATCATGTCTATTTGCTTCCATATTATTTCTGACTCCTTTCACACTGCAACAGCGTGAAAGGGTTGAAAACATACAACAGAGACCACAAGGCCTAGAAATGTGTGCTATGTGGCCCTTTACAGGAAAAGCTTGCCAATCCCTGCTTTATACCGTAACCAGAATGCCCTAATACTCACACCTCCTCTTGTGACTCCCCTGCCCAAAATCTTCCCATGAATCCCTGCAGAAAACCTCACTGGCTCCCTATCTATGGCCATTCTTCCTTCTTTCTCACTGGAGAAACACAAGTTTATTTGGATACTTATCATTCCATTATCCCACCTCAGTTCCAAAAAAAAAAAAGAAAAATGATTGTTCTAAGCTAATCATAGGAATTACGTTTGTTTTCCTACTGACTGGTTTAGGAATGAGCATGTGGTGTCATCCGGCCACTAAAGTGTTACAGGAAGATCACTGCAAACTTCTGAGTTGGCTCCCTGTTTTAAAAATAAAAACAAACAAAAAAATCATGAAACAAAGCAACCCTTCCAGCCTTCAGATATTGTCTTGAGAGAACATAACGACTGGCTACTCATTGGCTACTTAGCCAACCATGAAAAGAGACATTAACAAAATACTGCCAATAGCACAGCTAAAAAAGGAAACATACATGTGACACTATGATATCCCTGAACCAACAGAACAACTTTGGTGCCTATGGTTTTAGCCATTGTTAGTTAGGTCATCTAGTATTTACAGCCAGATGTATTCTGGGAACTTTTCAATGGCCTACTGAATAAGATCTACTCCGTTCTATACTATTCAAAAGTCTTTCCTAAGCTTGCCATATCTAGATATTCACTTCATTTCCAACAACTCCTATACCACACTATTTCCACTAGCAACACTGAATTTAACATAAACCCTACAAAACTCACTCAAGAGTCTGACCTTTCGTACTTGCTGTTCCTTTTGCCAAACATGCAATCTCGTCAGATGTTCCTTCTGCCTAACACAAAATCTGGTTAGATTTTCCTTTTGCCAAATTTCGTTCTTCTGCCTCCTTACCTGGAAAACTTCTACTTACACTGCATGCTTTCCTTAAATCCTACCAATCTTTTTAAATCTTTAATTCTTTGCCTTGGACATAAAGTGTCTGTCCCACATTAAATATGACAAATACACAATAAATAATAATTGTAAACTCCCAGCAAGCAACTGACAGAGTAAGCACTGAATATGGTAGTAAATAATAAAAAATGACAATGATAGTAACAAGATAAAAATGCTTAGTACCTTAAAGATACTTTACAGTTATGTCTACGCAGAGAAGTGGATAGATGAATAAAGGCATTTCCTTTGACAATTCTATTGAAAAAACATGAAAATTAAATAGGGAAAGCTCTATTGCATTATGAGCACATTAAAGATTCGGACTATGTGTATTCTTTATCCCTGCGACATGCAAAACCTTACTTACAGAAGTTTCTTTGATAAATATATAATAGAGGTATGGTCATACAGTTCATATTGTACAATGTACATTGTATATTGTACATTGTATTACATCCAGGCAGTATAATACCATTTTTCTTGTTGTAAAATATTTTGTACTTTTATTGTAATTTATTGAGCCTAGAGTTGGGCTATTTTAATATTCATTATAATAATATTTTGGCTAGTAGTAACAGAACATATCTTGTTGTAACAAAATTACTATTATGACAATTACCCACCAGATAAAACAACACATCTTGTTTTAATGAAGTAAATATTATCTTAGTTGGTTTCAACTGAGGGGTAATGAAGCCAATAATAATGAGACCTTCTTGGTACAAGAGTATGTAACACAACCTGTGCTTCTCAACAAAATATTGCTCTTCTGACTTCTGCACTAAGCAGGTATCTTTAAAAACTAATTTCTTATTGGTACTTATACACCCTGAATAAGTTTAACAATTCTTACTGACATATGATTATGGTACCAGAAAATTATTATTAAGTTCCAAGCTCTAAAGAAATTTCCTTTTTTAGTGACACAAATCATGATGTCATACAGTTGATCCTTGAACAAGGGTTGGAATTGCAGGACCCCCCTTATAATATATAGATTTTCTTCACTCCCACTGCCACACTAAGAAAGAAAGACAAATTTCTCGTCTTCCTCATCCTTCTCAGCCTACGCAATGTGAACACAATGAGAATGAAGACCTTTACGTATGATAATGCACTTCCACTTAGTGAACAGTAAATATATTTTTTCCACCTTATAATTTTCTTCATAAGTTTCTTTTCTTCAGATTGCTTTATTGCAAGAATACAGTGTACAATACATATGACTTTATTGCAAGAATACAGTATACAATACATAACTGTTTATGTTTTCAGTGAAGCTTTAGGTCAATACTAGGCTATTAGGAGTTACATTTTGGGAGAGTCAAAAGTTAAATGCAGATTTTCAGCTACACTGGGGATCAGCACCCTAATCCCCATGTTGTTCAAGAGGTTACTTGAACATTTGTAATTCTCATTTGTTAAACACTTGTAATTCTCATTTGCTAAACGTAAACCATTTATTATAAAAATTAAATAGAAGATATATTGTACAACAAGCCTAATTTTTTATGACTATAGAGGAAACATACAACATGAGAACTTAAAATTTTTTATTTATACAAAAAAACTATATAGAATTTTAGGTACCATAATTAAATATTTTTTTCAGACAATACTGCTTGAGATTATAAACTATCTAAAACAACATTGTTAACTAATTGTGAATTGTAAGCAAAAAATTAAATCAAAGAAATTTTTATATGTCTATATATATTTAAATTTACACACCCACATGCTATTTATACATTTTTAATTGCTCTTTTGTGATCAAAACTTCCATAATATTATGGTAGTGTCACAAAGAGTAGTTTACTGTCAGAAGTCTTACCTGGGTTGAAATTTTGAGGATGTTTAGACATATTTTATATTCCAAAAGTTGTTGGTGAATACTATGTAAAACTGTCTCTCAGACCACAGTGAAATCAAACTAGAACTCAGGATTAAGAAACTCACTTAAAACCATTCAACTACGTGGAAACTGAACAATCTGCTCCTGAATGACTACTGGGTACACAACGAAATGAAGGCAGAAACAAAGATGTTCTTTGAAACCAATGAGAACAAAGACACAACATACCAGAATCTCTGGGAAACATTTAAAGCAGTGTGTAGAGGGAAATTTATAGCACTAAATGCCCACAAGAGAAAGCAGGAAAGATCTAAAATTGACCCCCTAACATCACAATTAAAAGAACTAGAGAAGCAAGAGCAAACACATTCAAAAGCTAGCAGAAGGCAAGAAATAACTAAGATCAGAGCAGAACTGAAGGAAATAGAGACATAAAAAACCCTTCAAAAAATCAATGAATCCAGGACCTGGTTTTTGAAAAGATCAACAAAATTGATAGACCACTAGCAAGACTAATAAAGAAGAAAAGAGAGAAGAATCAAATAGATGCAATAAAAAATGATAAAGGGGATATCACCACCGATCCCACAGAAATACAAACTACCATCAGAGAATACTATAAACACCTCTATGCAAATAAACTAGAAAACCTAGAAGAAATGGATAAATTCCTTGACACATACACCCTCCCAACACTAAACCAGGAAGAAGCTGAATCCCTGAATAGACCAATAACAGGCTCTGAAATTGAGGCAATAATAGCTTACCAACCAAAAAAGCCCAGGACCAGATGGATTCACAGCCAAATTCTACCAGAGGTACAAGGAGGAGCTGGTACCATTCCTTCTGAAACTATTCCAATCAATAGAAAAAGAAGGAATCCTCCCTAACTCATTTTATGAGGCTAGCATCATCCTGATACCAAAGCCTGGCAGAGACACAACAAAAAAAGAGAATTTTAGACCAATATCCTTGATGAACATTGATGCAAAAATCCTCGATAAAATACTGGCAAACCGAATCCAGCACATCAAAAAGCTTATCCACCATGATCAAGTGGGCTTCATCCCTGGGATGCAAGGCTGGTTCAACATACGAAAATCAATAAAGGCAATCCAGCATATAAACAGAACCAAAGACAAAAACCACGTGATTATCTCAATAGATGCAGAAGAGGCCTTTGACAAAATTCAACCACCCTTCATGCTAAAAACTCTCAATAAATTAGGTATTGATGGAATGCATCTCAAAATAATAAGAGCTATCTATGACAAACCCACAGCCAATATCATACCTAATGGGCAAAAATTGGAAGCATTCCCTTTGAAAACTGGCAGAAGACAGGGATGTCCTCTCTCACCACTCCTATTCAACATAGTGTTGGAAGTTCTGGCCAGGGAAATCAGGCAGGAGAAGGAAATAAAGGGCATTCAATTAAGAAAAGAGGAAGTCAAATTGTCCCTGTTTGAAGATGACATGATAGTATATCTAGAAAACCCCATCGTCTCAGCCCAAAATCTCCTTAAGCTGATAGGCAACTTCAGCAAAGTCTCAGAATACGAAATCAATGTGCAAAAATCACGAGCTTTCTTATACACCAATAACAGACAGACAGAGAGCCAAATCATGAGTGAACTCCCATTCACAATTGCTTCAAAGAGAGTAAAATACCTAGGATTCCAATTTACAAGGGATGTGAGGGACCTCTTCAAGGAGAACTACAAACTACTGCTCAAGAAAATAAAAGAGGATACAAACAAATGGAAGAACATTCCATGCTCATGGGTAGGAAGAATCAATATCGTGAAAATGGCCATACTGCCCAAGGTAATTTATAGATTCAATGCCATCTCTATCAAGCTACCAATGACTTTCTTCACAGAATTGGAAAAAACTACTTTCAAGCTCATATGGAACCAAAAAAGAGCTCGCATTGCCAAGTCAATCCTAAGCCAAAAGAACAAAGCTGGAGGCATCACACTACCTGACTTCAAACTATACTACAAGGCTACAGTAACCAAAACAGCAAGGTACTGGTACCAAAACAGAGATATAGACCAATGGAACAGAACAGAGCCCTCAGAAATAATGCCACATGTCGACAACTACCTGATCTTTGACAAACCTGACAAAAACAAGCAATGGGGAAAGGATTCCCTATTTAATAAATGGTGCTGAGAAAACTGGCTAGCCATATGTAGAAAGCTGAAACTGGATCCCTTCCTTACACCTTATACAAAAATTAATTCAAGATGGATTAAAGGCTCAAATGTTAGACCTGAAACCATAAAAACCCTAGAAGAAAACCTAGGCAATACCATTCAGGACATAGGCATGGACAAGGACTTCATGTCTAAAACACCAAAAGCAATGGCAACAAAAGCCAAAATTGACAAATGGGATCTAATTAAACTAAAGAGCTTCTGCGCAGCAAAAGAAACTACCATCAGAGTGAACAGGCAGCCTGCAGAATGGGAGAAAATTTTTGCAACCTACTCATCTGACAAAGGGCTAATATCCAGAATCTATAGTGAACTCCAACAAATTTACAAGAAAAAAACAAACAACCCCATCAACAAGTGGGCGAAGGATATGAACAGACACTTCTCAAAAGTAGACATTTATGCAGCCAAAAGACACATGAAAAAATGCTCATCGTCACTGGCCATCAGAGAAATGTAAATGAAAACCACAATGTGATACCATCTCACACCAGTTAGAATGGCGATCATTAAAAAGTTAGGAAACAGCAGGTGCTGGAGAGGATGTGGAGAAATAGGAACGCTTTTACACTGTTGGTGGGACTGCAAACTAGTTCAACCATCGTGGAAGTCAGTGTGGCGATTCCTCAGGGATCTAGAACTAGAAATACCATTTGACCCAGCCATCCCATTACTGGGTATAAACCCAAAGGATTATAAATCATGCTGCTATAAAGACACATGCACACGTATGTTTATTGTGGCACTATTCACAATAGCAAAGACTTGGAACCAACCCAAATGTCCAACAATGATAGACTGGATTAAGAAAATGTGGCACATATACACCATGGAATACTATGCAGCCATAAAAAAGGATGAGTTCATGTCCTTTGTAGGGACATGGATGAAGCTGGAAATCATCATTCTCAGCAAACTATCACAAGGACAAAAAACCAAACACCGCATGTTGTCACTCATAGGTGGGAACTGAACAATGAGAACACATGGACACAGGAAGGGGAACATCACACACCGGGGCCTGTTGTGGGGTCGGGGGAGGGGGGAGGGATAGCATTAAGAGACATATCTAATGTTAAATGACGAGTTAATGGGTGCAGCACACCAACATGGCACATGTATACATATGTAACAAACGTGCATGTTGTGCACATGTACCCTAAAACTTAAAGTATAATTAAAAAAAATTCAGTGAAAAGGCTGAGAAAAAAAGAAATATGCAATCAATAAAAGTACTATTTTAACACTGATATGAAAAAATTTACTGAATATGTTAAATTATTAGAGTATTCCAGACAATATTAGAGCTAATCTGAGAACTTTACTCATTTCATAGGCTTCAAATTTGTGAGCTCTGTGAACTTCTTAAACTTTTAGTTAAAGAAGAAAGTAAGGTGAAATACTCATGAATTGAAGGCAATATAGCTCAGTAAATGAACTAGAGTTAGGCTGACGTAACGGAAAATGTCCTCAACTCAGAATAAATCTCAGCTCTGCAACCAATTCGTTCTTGATTAAGTTGCTTCTCTTAGGCTCAATGTCTTCCTCTAAAAGTGAGACTTGTAGTGCCTTATTTAACTAGGTTATTATAAAGACTTCACAAGACAGCATTTGAAAAAATGCTCAGAGAAGTAGTGAAGCGATGGAATAATTTATTCTTGAACCTTACTGCTGAAACTATTTTAAAATCCCAAATAAAACCCAATGTGTTTGTCAGATGCAGAGGCTCATGCCTGTGATGCCAGCACTTTGGGAGGCTGAGACAGGAGGACTGCTTGAGCCCAGGAGTTCAAGACCAGCCTGGGCAACATAGAGAGACCCTATCTCTACAAATTAAAAATAAATTTTAAAAAAAGTGTATTTCTTCATAGGTTCTACTATTCAAATGTTGCAGTTTTCAGAAAATGTTATTAAGTCCTACTCTTGATTATTAGATGTTCTTTTTTTATGGCTTGTAATTCAGGGCATCTATTTCATAATTTGTAATAAAAATTATTTATAAATATGTTAATTCATCAAATCAGACAACATGATTATCTCCTGTTGCTGAGTTCATCAATCACACCCAGGGCAGAAAACTGTTGAATGTCAAGACCTGGCTTGGACTCCTAATATTCTTTACCAAACTTCCCAAACTCTGAACCAATAAATCTTTGTTGAAATAATGCTTACTCCCCATGTTCATCTCCAACTGCTGTGGAAGAAAAAACCTTACCTTTATTTTTTTTAAGTTCCATGATGGGGATGGAAGCTGTTATTTTCTCATTTCCTAGATGCCTACTAGCAATATATTGCACACAACATCCCATGTGTTTCCCGGCACAATCTCATTCCATAGATCATCTTACATAAATATTTTTGTGTGAAAATCACAGTTTCAATATTGGGTGTCACCATTTTTCATTGACTCACACCATTTCCTTGGAGCTAGTAAGATAGTAGTCCAAGGTCCTTTTGGGGACTGCAAGAAATATAGAACACCTCACAAATTTGTGTGTCACCCATGTGCAGGGATCATGCTGATCTTCTCTATATTGTTTCAATTTTAGTGGATGTGCTGCCATCTATTTTTTTTTTTAGAAGGAGTCATGCTTTTATTGCTCAGGCTGGAGTACAATGGCACGATCTCAGCTCACTGCAACCTCCACTTCCCGGGTTCAAGTGAATCTCCTGCCTCAGCCTCGGGAGTAGCTGGGATTACAGGTGCCCACCACCATGCTTGGCTAATTTTTGTATTTTTAGTAGAGACAGTGTTTTGCCATGTTGGCCAAGCTGGTCTCGAACTCCTGACCTCATGATCCACCCACCTCGGCCTCCCAAATTCCTGGGATTACAGGCGTGAGCCACTGTGCCCAGCCACAAACTTCTACTTTCCTACATGGATACTGATGAGTCATGGATGAGGCTTAGCTCTGTTTAATCTAACTTACTTGAGATTTCATGAATTCTTTCGAATGGCTTCATTGTGAGGTAGAATTTTAAAATATTTTAAAAACTCAAGATACAAACACAAGTAGTTTGGGAGATTTTTACTTTTACGGAAAACAGATCACTTGAGGGAAGAACCACTACTCTGGGGAAGCAGAATATTGGTCCTTCCAGAATAATATGGGACCCTCCACTACCTACAAAATGGTGCCACACAGAATCTAAAGGGGCCAAGAGCATAGATCTGGTAGCAAAGAAGAAAGGAATCTCTGATTTCTTCCTGTAACATTATTTAGACCTCACAGTTTCAAACTATTCCAAGGGATTCAGAGGATAATTTACCTTGAAGGTCTAGGACAAGTCCAAGCTAAGACGTGGGTTTCATATCAGGTTTTGAGTGTGAGAAGAAGGGTCACTATGAGTGTGGCTAAAGCTAGGAGGCCCAACTGTCAGAGCAGGCGTACAGGCACTTTGGAAATAATGGCTGAGAATATCTATGTGAACTAAAACAAAAAGTAATAACTTTGAAGTCTATATGTGAATCACCAGGAAGACTGAGGGATCCAGATAAGTGAGGTCATCCTGGTAGCAAAGGTCAATTGTTAACAGACTGAAGAAGCAGTTTCAGTGGCAACGATGCAGCAACAGAATCAGAGGGAACAACACAATGATTAGAAGGGTCTTTTCTCCCCCCTCATCCTGACTGTAAAAGAAGACTGTCTTCCTTGGACTTAGGGAACCCCTTAAGTTCCTTTAAAAATTCAAGGAGGAGGGTATAGAGGATAGCGCCCAGAGGCAGTACTAAATTTTTTGCTAAAGTGGACGTTTTAAGACCCAAATTACTAATTACAAAAATTGAAAATGTGACACTATGTTTATCCCATGCATTGGGATTATACTTGGGATCAAATAGACAACATTGGTATCTGTAGGGATAAATGTGTTAAAAGCCCTAAAATAAAGAATCCTGGACCCGCTGCTCCTTCTAACTAGTTTAGCTTTTTGCCTGATTTCTGGCTGATGAAGTGAATTAACTCACTGCCCTTCAAAAACTACTTGAGCCAAGCTATGAAATCTCACCTAGACTTTACATGTACAAACATAGATTAAAAATATTAACAACAGCGTAATCTTCTGCAGTCATTCCACAAATACTTGAGTAAATATGTCAATATTTTTCTGAAGAAGAATGCTATCCCTGATGATCCATGACATACTGCAAGCATGAGGGCTGTGCTAAACAGAGAGAGAACTTCATTCTTAGAAACTTTACAAACTTAATATGTGCCTGTCAGTGTAGAATTAAACATTTACGTGAACTAACAAACATAAGCATCCTGGGTGCTCAAGTGTTCATCTTTGTAAATAACCACAAAGGCTTAAAGGAAGGGACAAAAAAAAAATTCATGTCCCACTGGGGTATGGCATAGTAGAAGTGGTTAACATAAAGTCCTTTGATGGGCAAAAGACTGTGCTCAGGTCACTCATCTACAGGAGGCAAAGATTTAAGTGAAGAATTATCCATTTCTTCTCTAGTCTGATATATTGTAATTCAAAATCAGTTAGGAGTAAGATAAATAAGAGCAATCTGCAGGCTGAAAATAATAATGTAAAGAATAATGATAGTAGTAGTTGTTCAGTTAATGATACTGATAAGCATGTGTGAAGAACTGAATTAAATGCTGTATACACATAATCTAATTTCCACACAATCACCCCTGAAAGAAATATTATTATCCTCATTTTCATATAGGAAAGCATACTTGGTACTAAGTAATGTATGCAAGGTCACCCCTAACAAATGAAGAAGCTAGAAATTAAAACCTGTCTTTTGTGAATCTAAGGCCTCTTTTCTATCACTCACCTACAGCTTATCTTCATTAAATAAAAAGTTAATTTAATTAAACATATCTTTCTTCCTTCTACACATACCGATTACAAATTAAAAAATTAAAATACACCATAAGTTAAAAAGAAATAAAATGATGAATTCACAGTGGTGGTAACAATTAATAGTCACTTAGGGATAACCTGACATTAATATTTTTCAAATAAATCACCTTAAAGCAAACAGTCATCCAAAACACAAAATAATTTTCAATTCCTATTTATGATTCATATTACATTTTATAGAAAAAGTATATAAAAAGCAGAAGGTAGAGAAATACTATAAAATAATAATTCAATATTGAATCAATAAGCAAACTGAAAGTTAAATTTCATATTTTATAAAACTAATACAAAACCCTTTACTAATAGAAGATAATGTGACAAAAACATCAGATTGTAAATAACATCAGCCAATATAATAAGAGAATATAAATCCTATCATATACATATGTTCTTTATGTTGCCCAGTCCAAGTAATTGCTTTTCTACCTAACTGGTGATTTGTTTTGATATTTTCCACTATAATCCAATAAATATAAGCTAATCTGCTGATTAACTTAATATTTCCAACTTGAATGTTACGACTCTAGAACAACACTCACTTTAAAAAAATGACTAAACCTTTATCAACTGCATTTACATTTGCATTTTTTGTTAGTAAAAATTATACCATTTGCTGTCTTCTTTTAGTTATGGCAAGTAAAAGTGGTATGAGGCCATCCTGTAAAATGGCAAAAACAATTTATAATTCATAAAATTACATATTTGTCAGCTGAACTGAATACCTTATATAAGGTCTTATGAACTTAAACACATAAAATAGAAAGCAAATAAAATCTGTCCCTTCCTTCTCACTCCTCTGTGCTTTCCCATGCACTCCTCCTCCACTTGAAAACATCCGGCCTCTGACTCACATTAACTCTGGTCAGCTCCAAAAATGATTTGAAACAGTCACTGGTTTCAATAATCTTTGTTTCTAGCACAGCATTTCACATGGTATATTGTAATAATTTTATTGATTTCTATCTAAACCAACAGATTCTTGAGGGCAGCTGCTGTATCTTTTATCTGTTTATCCTCAAACCCTATGACATAGTAGTAAATACTTTAAGTATTTTTATTAAATCAATGATCTAAATTATTACCTCTAGAGTAGTACTTCTTAAACTGTATTCCAAAGAATATTTACTTTGCCAGAATTTAAAGACTGTACCTGAATAGGAAGATCCTATGATCATCTATGTTTGAGAAATATTATAAAACTGTGAATTATATGTCCAGTATTCAAGAAATGTCTTGAACTTTGCCTAATCCTTATTTGACAATAGGTTTTGTGGCAATATTAACATTTGAGGAATTAAAGTTTCAGGATTACAGTTTTTAAAGCTTTCCAATAAAGGTAGAGGTTTCCTCCAAGTGATACAAACTCACTTGATTATTTTCTATCAATGGGCCCAGGATCCCAGCTGCCAAAGTCAGGTGCTCCTGCTCCAAGTAGATCACTAAGGAAATGGTCTCTAAATTAAAAGAGATAGGCTTCAAATGAATTTTGATTGCTTATTATTAAATGGTCCATTGGGTTTCTCCTATTACAGAGTCACAGAATTTTAGCTGTTACAAAGTTCAGTATGAAATTTTATTCTCAATTTTAATGATATTTATAATCCTAGGACCCTAATGCAAATCTACTTCTTAAAATGCATTAATCCATTTTTATTCTGGTTTCCATTTTCATTGCTACTTAAAATTATTTTTTATTTTTGGCAAAATATCAGAAATACAAATGCAATGGCTTATCAATACAATTTCTAGCTGAACTATATGGGTTATTTTAGCATAATAAAAGCCACTAAATCACTTCCATTTTCAGAGACAATGCTGAGGAGAAAGATAAAATGTGTTCTGCAATATGCATAACCTATCCAAATATAACCATAATTAACCTAAAAAGGCCTATAGGCATTCCAATGTGATTATTATTTATGGTATATATAAAGAAAAATCATTATTTAAAAAACAACTTCTAAATTCTAAAAGTCAAACCCATTATTAAGGAATTAATACAAAATATAGGCTATATATTATAAATAACTATCAACTGTCTTGAAAACCTTGAAATCTTTACCAAAATATACTATATGACAGGAGTTGTTAACTAAAATATTTACAGAGGCAAAGGGTATGACCTGAGTAAGTCCCTAGGTGGGCACAATGGCAAACTGGAGACCACAGACTTTGCGTGAAGCTACAGCCTCTTCATAGCACACCAAACAGTAATATGGGCTCAAGGGAAACCAGATTTCACTATTTAAGAGGAGCCTGAAATACAGATTTTTGCAGGTCTCCTAAATTTTACACGTTGGCTTAATTTATGCAGGCCAACTTTGCTTTCCTGTGTTGTTGTACACTACTTAGAAAGAAAAAAAAATACTTCAGTCAAAAAAAAATTGAAAACAAAAGTTTTACCTATAACAAATTCAAATATCTACCATAAATGCATAAAAGAAAGCCATACTCTCTAATACTTTTTTAAAGATATTAGTATTTAAGGTAAAATCTTAGACCATTATTTCAAATTATTTTTATTCAGGGATTGCTTAAGCTTCCAAATAGCAAAAACTGACCCTTACATATGTCAATGTTAAAACAAGTGGATTTCAAATATTTTGAAAATAACATTGGTTGCTCTACATTGTTTTTCACTTCGATGTTTGTCTTGTGTGAAAACAGTCTTGCTACCATTGACATATTCTCATTATAGACAGCATATGGAGAGCAGTGTTGCCATAGACATCGGTAATATTTGGATCAGCACCAAGGTCTAGCAGAATAGTTTCACATCTTCTTGGCACATTATAGCCTGTCAGTATTAGAACAAGAAATAAATTGTAAATTGTAGGAAATTAAAATAAGTATTCCACAGGTTTCACAAACTAGTTATATTTCAATGAGACAAATTCATTTTTATTCTATGTATTTAAGCCAAATCCATCTCATGCTGAAAGAACTGGCTACTATATACCTTCGTTAGAGGTGTCTTGTTTTCACTGTCACAGATGTTAAGCTGGCATTTTCTGTGCACCAGAAAAGTTACCACTTCTGGGCAGCCATTGGCACAGGCCAAATGTGGAACCATCCTACAAAATTGAGAAGATATTGAGAGAAGTTTAGTCCACTATCTCAAAACATACAATGATTCACGTAATTGCAAACAATAAATAGCATGCTATTCCTCTGCTTTCAAAACAAATATTAATTTCCTCCTGAAAAGGGACAATATTTATTAGCTCTTATTATTCACTGCATCAATGAAAGAGTGACCTATTTGGACAGAAAGAGCTTGGCCTCTCGGTTTAGTTGATCTTGCACTTGAATACTATTTTAAGATCTTTCGCTTGCTAGATATTATAATTATTACTACTACTTAATAAAGACAACATTTTAATTAGGTAAAATGGTACCATTATACTTCCTTTGTGTTATGATTTAAAGGTTCGAGATAAGACTGTATTTCAATGATTCTAAGATTCTCATTTTCTCATATTTCAACATCTCTGACATTGAAATGCTACTTATAATTCATTATTTATTACAACTATATTTTTCAGCATTTTAAACATTATTTTATTGATACATAAAATAAGGCAGCATCACACAATCCATGGTGGCTACATCAAGTGGAATACGGTATATACAATAGGACAATGGAAGTCCTAGTCGTATGATTAACATTTAAATCAATTTTAAGCACTTAAATGTACTACGGAAAAGGAGCGTTGAAATAAAAGCAAATTTTTAAAACAAAACAATTCCTTAATTTTTAAAAACTTTAAGCCTAATAGAAGACAGGATTCAAATAAATAAATATGGCTCATTTAATTAAATATTTAGATTTACAGAATCTAAATGTATGCATGTATGTAAATTAGTATTTACATGTATAAAATGCATGTAGGGTAAGTATTTATGATAATTAATATCACTGTTTAAGACGTATACATTTTCAAAGTGGCCACTGATGTTATCTTGCATTACTTTCCCACATCAGAAATGATTTTATTTTTTTTGAAAGATGAGAGGACAAGCTTCAGTTGAGATTCAGTCCTAATTCTCTAATTTTAAATCTCTCAGCTTGCTCAGGGTGGGCAGGTACACATGAAATTTTTAAGAATGGAAGGGTCTTGATAGTTAGTATAATGTGCCTTTTACATAACAGGTATTCAGCTTGTATTTGATGAATAAATAGATTTTAAAAATGAATAAATACAGTTGGGAAGTTTAATATTTTTAAAACAGCTACAAATAAAGTGATATTTTTGCAATGGTAATAGTTACTTATATTCACTATTTTTATTTTCATAATAATAACACTAAACTAAAATGATTAATATGTAATTATTGGCATATATGTAATAAATCTATACATAATAAAAATATGTTTAATAAAATATGTACATATATAAAACCACTATCACAGATAAAGTTTATCTTCACTTCTGAAGACACTGAAAGTTCACAGACTATACTAATCCATAGAAATAAAAATTTAAAAATAGAAAGTGAGAAATTACTTTTAGCTGCAAAATTAATATTTCTGCTCTTCCTAAGGATTATTTCATTAGTAATAATTATGCTATATGCTATATACCACAGATCCCCAATCCCCTGCTCAGTGAAGAAATCACAAATCTTAAAAAGGAAAAACAGTTCATTATAATACAATTGTCCCCAAATAACAAATTTTATCACATTTGGTACATATTTTCAGATAAAGCAAGAACATAGTCAGTTTGTATGTGTAATCAAACTGAATGTTATCTTCACCTGATACACCAAAATACATTTTCATATGTCAACATACTTTTGTAGATATTACTTTCAGTGGTCTCATATTATCCCATACTATATATTCACTGAAATTTATTTATGAAATTTGTTATATGGATTCTCTTTAATACAATCATATTTTAAGCACTGCTGAGAAAAACAAATTGCATGTATCTCTCGTTGTTTCCTAAATGTATTTTACTATAATGGAATTGATCAAGAAAGGGCATACGCATAGTTTAAACATGGTACTTACCACCAAATTGTCTTTTTGAAAAGTCATCAGCAACTTAACTTTAAGCAGAAGTGTAAATATCACTGCTCCTCATCTTCACAAACTTAGGACAGAAAACGGCATTTTATTCCTTTTTTAAATTAAAGTCCTTCTCTTATCGGACACATTAAGTATTTTTTTCCTATGTGCATAGGTGACTTGCAGAGCTGGAAAAAGTACTTTGCCCAGTTTTAGAGGTATTTTCATGTTGATTTGGAAGAATTCTCTGTAAAATGAATAGCCATTTTTAATATGTACACACACAAAAACACGTGGTAAATATTATATAAGTATGATGTCTTTTATTTTATCTTTTTCTCATATTCAGTGTGATTTAATTTTAATTTTGCTAAATAAACTTTCAGAATGCTTGCTTGAGAGGTTCCTAGGAAGGTCTTTGTCAACACAAAAATGTATTTGTATAAATAGGCATTTGCGTTTTCTTCTGGTATTTTTCTCATTTTGCATATTTAAAATAATCTATATTCAATGAGAAACTTATTTTTGTGACATAAAAATCTAGCTAGTTTCTTCCAAAAAGCAGGCATTTCATTTATAAAAATAACTCTTTTCTTATTAGTATAAAGTCTCACCATTACCCTGTTATACGTTCTTACATATATTTGGGTGTTCCTGGATTTTCTATTCTCTTGCATTCATTTATCTATCTTTTCAGCTGTTAGCAAACTATTTATGCAAATTAATAGCACATTTTGAAAGGCAAGACTTTTTTTCTCCATTACAAAAATGTTAAGCCATCTTAATATTAAAAGACAGCATGTGTAATTCAAAAATGTTAACTTTGATAACTTTGATTTATGTAAAATTAATAAAGATCTCACACCTCGAGAAAAATGAGTCTTCTTATTCAAGAACGTGAACCTTCTTCCTACTTCAAAGTTTCCTTCTAAGGTCTCTCAGCAAAGAACATATTTACATAGGTATTCATTGATATAAAATATTGGATTTTAGCCAAAAAATTATTAGCCCAGAAGGTGATATATTATGGGAATTATTTCTTTCATTATGTACCTTTCCATAACGTATCTAACATTATCTTTTAAAATGTGTGCATTAAAAATAAAACAATATATACTTAATTTTATTAAATCACTTTAAAGTTCTCTCTGAAGTGCTCTGTAAGAGGAACTGTGGGTGGAGGAACCAGCTAAAGTTTTGGGTTTATTTTGCTGCTCATAAAGATGGCCTGGGCCCTCCACCCCCAAGGCGTCCACATCCCAGGCTCTGCGGAGTCCTCCTAGGAAGAAAGCCAGCGCCCTGGGGACGAGGACGGCCCACCCCGCACACACTATTCTTTCCACGCCTCCCCTGGCCCCCACTCCCCAAGCCCCCAATTCTGAAGGAGGTGCTTCTCCCCACCTGCCCACCTCCTCCCTCAACCCCCAAGCCTGCAGCCCGCAGTTCCCGACACCTGTTCTTGTAGATTTCAGACTGGTCTTTTCTCTTCAGCGGGAGCCTCAGCTGCAGCTCCCACGCGTTCCCCTGGACGCAGCTTTGTGTATCATCCCGACATCCTCATCTGGAGTCTGGTACCAGGGGTCAGAGAAGATGCAGTTACTACTCCAGGAGCTCAGGCGCACCTGGCCCTTCTGGCTCTCCACAGCCAAGATCATCTTCATGGCCCAGCTATTGGCTTCAGAGACGCCACAACTCGCCCTCGCCCTTCCCCCAGCCCAGCCCCCACCCGGCCCCCATCCGGCCCAGCACCAGAAAGCAAGGCAGTCTGGCCCAGACCTCAGACAGGGACCCTCCAACTTCTCGGACAAGGACGTCTCCAACCTCTCGGAGAATAAATAATATACGGAGCAGAGCAGTTGGGCCCCAGCGCCCATGGGACCTCAAAAGGCAACCGCCTTGCGCGTGGCCAGAAACTGCGTGTGGCCAGAAACCGCCCTGAGCCGAGCACTCGCCGGCACCGCATGCAGGTGGCAGCTGCTGCTGAGACGCCTGTGGACTGGCCGAGCTCCCTAGAGCCGAGCGCGCGGTCCCAGCTGTCTCAGGGCCCGCCTAACGACGCTGCCCCCTGCAGCTGCTCCTCCTGTGCCCTCTTTTGAGCGCGAGGTCTTGAGTGCTGGGCACTGTGCAGCCGCCTACATGGGGCTGAGCCACTGGTTCCCCCCTCCTGCAGCTGAAGGGCCGGCCGCCCGAATTAGGCGCTGCTGGGGCATCTGGCCAGGGGTCCGCGCTGCTGGTGGCTCGGGCAGCGTTGAGAGTTGCCACCTCTGCTGCCGCGCGCCATATGCAGATGACAGCTGCAGCTGAACCCAAGGCGGAGGCTGGCAAGGCTGGTCCCAGAGGGCCTTCAGGTCTCCGAGTGCACCACCCTCCCAACTGGGGTCCTCTCTTCCTTGCCCTGCGCCCAGAGAACGAGGTCGCCAGTGCTGGGGACTGTGCAGCAGCCTAAATCCGATGGCTGAGCAGCGAGTTCCCGCCCTGTAGCTGCCAGGCCAATCGCCTGAATTAGGCTCCTGGTGACGTCTGGCCCTGGGTTTCACGCTGCTGGTGGCGTGGGCACGGTGAAAGGTTGCCATCACTGCTTCCCCGCACCGTGTGCAGGTGGCAGCTGCAGCTGAGCCCACGATGGAAGTTGGCAGGGCTGGTCCCACACAGCTGAGGGTCGCTTAGTGTACATCCCTCCAACCCCAGGTTCCACTCTTTTTTTGTCCCACGCACAGAGTGTGAGGTCCTGGGAGCTGGGCAATATGCAGCAACCGGGATGGGGCTGAGTGGACCTTTCTCACTCTCCTGAAGCTGCAGGGCCCACCGGGTGAATTATGCGGCCGACCCTGGGATCCTCATTGGTGGTGGCAGTGGGCAGGGCAGCGGTTGCCACCGCTGCTGCAGGGTGCCTTGTGCAGGTGGCAGCTGCAACTGAGCCCATGGGGGAGATCGACTGGGCTGGTCCCAGACGTCCTGAATGTCACCGACTGCATGGCCCTTTCACCATAGGGTCCGATATGGAATCTTGGCCAGCTCCGAGAGCTCCGCGTCGTGGGTCCTGGGCACTGTGCAGCCACTGGGATGGGGCTGAGCACCGGTTCCCATCCTCCGACAGCTGCGGCACGGACCACCTGAATTAGTTGAAGTGGCAATGTCTCTCCCTGGGGTCCAGGGCTGGTGGTGCGGGCAGGGTATTGGATTGCCATCTGTGCTGCCGCGCGCCATGTGCAGGTGGCAGCTGCAGCTGAGCCCAGGCGGAGGCTGGGAGGCCTGGTCCCAGAAAGCCTGAGGGTCGCCGAGTGCACCTCCCTCCCACCCTACGGTCAGCTCCTCTTTCTCCCGCGCCCTGAGCCCCGGGTCGTGGGCGCTGGGAACTGTGTGGCCGCCAGGTTCTCTTCCTGCAGCTGCGGGTTCCCTTCTTGCAGCTGTCCTGCCAACCGCCTGAATTAGAAGCCCTGGTAGCCTCTGGCCTTGTATTTTTCACTGCTGGTGGGGCCGGCAGTGTTGGGGGTTGCCATCTCTGTTACCGAGCCCTATGTGCAGGTGACAGCTGCAGCAGAGTCCTTGGTGGAGGCTGGCAGGGCTGGTCCCAGACAGCCTTAGGGTCCCCGAGGACACCAGCCTCCCATTCTAGGCTCTGCTGCTCCTCCCATTCTAGGGTGTGCCCAACCTCCCATTCTAGGGTGTGCTCTTCCTTGGCACGAGGTGGTGGGTTCTGGGCACTGTGCAGCTGCCAGTATGAGGCTGAGTGGCCTTTTCCCGCCCTCGTGCTGCTGCAAGGCGGACCACCTGACTTAGGCGCGGCAGTGGCATCTGACATGGGAGTCTGCGCTGCTGGGGCCCAGAGGGGAAGCGGGAAGTTGGAGGCTGCAGGGCCACTTCTATCAGTGCGCAACCTGCACGTAGCGGCTGTAGCTCAGGTACTGGCTCCGGATATGGGGCTTCCCTCAGAAGGCCTCCAGGTAGCTAAGTGTGCCTGCTGCCAGGCCTCAGGGTCCACTCCTCCTTGACCTGCATCTGGAGAGCGGCCCTGTTGCTGGGTAATCTGCAGCCAAAGACAATGGGGCTGAGCTGTGGTTTTGCCCATTGTTCCACAGCCCAGCCAGCTACCTGACTTAGCAGCCTCCATGGCATCTGGTCAGGGGATCAGTGCTCCTGGGGATCACTGAAACTAAAGTAACAATTGAATATGAGTTACCACCTACCTGCTTGGAGGTGTGAAAGAATGTTTATAAAGCAGTTAGGAGATCTCCAGAGAAAGCCAACTTAACATAAAGCAAGACTTTCTTACTAATGGGTCAGAGTCTCACCTTTAGGAAGTCCATGAATTTTCTCTGCAGTGATGCAAGAAGGGAAAAACAAGGCAGCTCCAGAAAGGTGAGATGTGTGAAATTAAACTGGTTATGAAGTCAGCCCAGTTTCAGGAGTTCTTTTCCTCTTCGCAGATGGATGTGAAAATCCTGGAAAGTCTCCAAGGTCCACCTCTGTACTGAGAAGTGGCTTTCTAATGGACAGGTTTCGGAAAGGTTCATTATAGATATGTAGTCTCTGTCTCTGATGTCAGAGATTTTTAGTGAAAAATGTCCTTTGATCTGCAGAACCTGCTCTACCTGAAGACCAGCAACAGTTTGAAAGCAGGGGCCAGTGGGTGTTGAGCTAAGGATGGAGTTGCAGCATGAGATCCGAGGTGACAATGGGCTGAGGAATTTCCTCAACTACATGGAAAGAGGAACCTGAAAGCTCTACCAACCAACATGTGTATCAGTCATCATCTGTTTCTTTCTTTTTTTAATGCAAATGATGTGAGTTAGAAGACATTATAGCTAACCTTACCAGGGAACTAGTAAGATTCTATTGGGATGAGCCATAGCTTGTGGCTTTGTCCATATGTGCTGTGTCTAGCAGAGAGGCATCCTTGCCTGGCTCCATTGGTAGTGGTACAGCAGGACTCTCTGCCCAGCACTGTCAGGCTTAGGTTAAGTATGAACTGATTCTCATTTTTAATAAAGCTTATCTCATCACTTAATATAGAGATCTAGCTAGCAGAGATTCTCACCCTCAATACTTCCACAGACTTTTTAACTTCTTTTATTTAAAATGTCTTACATTTTTAATAAAAGGCCATTCAGCCCCATACTGGCAGCTGCACCGAGCCAGGCGCGGGGGCTCACGGCTGTAATCCCAGCACTTTGGGAGGCCGAGGCAGGTGGATCATCTGAGGTCAGGAGTTTGAGACCAGCCTGGCCAACATGGTGAAACCCCATCTCTACTAAAAATACAAAAAATTAGCCGGTTGTGGTGGTGGGCACCTGTAAACCCAGCTACTTGGGAGGCTGAGACAGGAGAATTGCTTGAACCCAGGAGGGGGAAGTTGCAGTAAGCCGAGATCTCACCATTGCACTTCAGCCTTGGCGACAGAGTGAGACTCTGTCTCAAAAAAAAGTCTTATATTTTTTAATGTATTACATTTTATATTGAACAATAATCACAAGTTCATCTTTTTGGGAGGAAGATTTAAGTCACTGTTTTGGGCATAAACTAATGAACTATGCTGAAATCTAGAGACATCCCAATGGCTTATTGTATATGGTAATATCTGCCCTTAGATTAGTCCTGGACTATTTGACTTCCATTTCTGACATTTGTTTGTTAATATTCTGACTCTTTCCTAGTGGTTGCCCTTTTTACTGCTATCAATGCTTGCCTCTAATGTCTCCTGTTTCACAGTGCTATGAACTGAAAAACAAGATGATGTGGCTTGTTAGACTTGTGTGCAAATTAGGAGTCCATAGGCTTCGAGTGAGGAGGACTTGAGGGCTAGGGCACTTCTATAGGAAGAGAGAGACAGAACATGAATAAACTTGCTGACAGTCACTTTGGACACCGAGGATACCCAGAAACCTCTGCCATTTATGTTTTAGTATGGCTTCATTTATAGTTGGAAATTCCTTGTCTAAGACTCAAAAGACTTAAACACTAAGCTGTGTCCTATACTCATGAATCTCTTAACTAAAGATGAAAGCACATGCTTACCTTGATCAACACAATGAAGAACAATAAGGCTGACGTCAGAGATCTATGTTTTGATTGTAGCACAGCCACGTAATTAATAGGTTTACATTGGACTTCGATACTATTTCTTTTGGGGGTTGGGGCAATGCTATGCCATTGTAACCCCACTGTCTCCACTGAGAGGCTGGAGGTGGGGAGCTTCTTCTCTGAGTAGCAGGAGATGGTAAAGCCCTACTTTGAGAGGCTGAAGACAGTGAGCTCCTCCTCTGAGAAACTGGACATGGTGACTCTCTCCTCTGAAAGGCTGGAGACAATGAGTTTCTCCTGAGAGGCTGGAGATGGCAAGTCTTTTTTTTTCCTGAGAGGCTGGAGAAAATTATGCCCTTCTATGAGAGACTGGAGATGGTGAGTTCCTCCTTTGAGAGGCTGGAGGCAGCAAGTTTCTTCTTTCAGAGGCTGGAGATGGTAAGTTTATTTCCTGAGTGACTGGAGATGAAGATTTCCTCATCTGAGAGGCTGCAGACAGTTTCTTCTTCGAGAGGCTGGAGATGGCAATTTTCTCCTTTGAGAGACTGCAGACTGCAAGGTACTCTTCTGAGAGGCTGTAGATTGTGAGTTTCACCTCTGAGAGGCTGAAGATGATTAATTTATTTTCTGAGAAGCTGGAGATGGTGAGGTCCTACTCTGAGAGGCTAGAGACAAAAAGTTTCTCCTCTGAGAGGCTGGAGACAGCCAGTTTCCCTTCTGAGAGAAGGCTGGAGATGATGAGTTTCTCCTCTAAGAGGCTAAAGACTACAAGTTCCACCCTCTGAGAGGCTGGAGAAGGAGAAGTGCTCCTCTGAGATGCTGGAGATGACCAGATTTTCTTCTGAGAGGCTGGAGACTGTGAGCTTTTCTTCCAATAAAGTGGAGATGGTGAGTGTCTTCTCTGAGAAGCTGAGGATGACAAGTCTCTCTTCTGAGAGTCTGGAGGTGGTGTATCCTCATTCTGAGAGGCAGGAGATGGCCAGTTTCTTTACTGGGAGGTTGGAGATGGTAAGCTTCTCTTCTCAGAAGCTCAGGATAGTGAGTTTCATCTCAGAGAGCCTGGAGACTGTGAATTCCTCCTCTGAGAGTCTGGAGACATTGAGGTCCTCCTCTGAGAGGCAGGAGATGGCCAATTCCATTTCTGAGAGGCTGGAGATGGTGAGGTTCTTTTCTGAGAGGTAGGAGATGGCCAGTTTCTTTGCTGGAAAGTTGGAGATGGTCAGTTACTCTTCTGAGAGACTCAAGATGATGAGTTTCTTCTCTTAGAGCCCAGAGACTGTGAGTTCCTCATCTAAGAGGCTGGAGAAAGTGAGGTCATCCTGTGAGAGGCTAGAGACATGAAGTCCCCCTGTGAGAGGCTGGAGATAGTGAGATCCCTCTGCAAGAGACCGGAGATGGTTAGTTTCTTTTCTGAGAGGCTGGAGACAGTGAGTTTTTTCTCTGAGAGGCGAAGACAGTGAGTCTCTCCTCTGAGAGGCTGGGGAGTGTGAGTCTCTGTGATTGGCTGGATATGGTGAGTTCTTCCTCTGAGAGGATGGAGTTGGTGAGTTCTTTTTCTGAGAGGCTGAAGACAATGAGGTCCTCTTCTCAGAGGCTGGAGATGGCCAGTTTTTTTTCCAAGAGGCTGGAGACAGCAAGATTTTCTTCTTCTAAGAGGCTGGTGACCGTTTCTCCTCTGAGAGGCTGGAGACAGCAAGTTTCTGTCTAGGAGGCTGGAAACAGTAAGTTTCTTCTCTGAGAGGCTCAGGATGATAAGTTTGTCCTCTGAGATGCTAGAGACTGTGAATTCCTTTTCTGAGAGGCTAAAGACAACCAGTTTCTCCTCTGAGAGGCTGCAGATGGTGAGTTATTTTCCAGAAGCTGGACATGGTGAGTTTCTCTTGTGAGAGGCTGGAGATGGAAAGGTCATTCTCTGAGAGGCTGGAGACAGCCAGTTTCTCCTCCAAAAGCTGGTGATGATGAGTTTCTCCTTTGAGAGGCTGGAGACATTGGGGTCCTCTTCTTAGAGGCTGCAAGACGTAAGTCTCTCATCTGACAGTCTGGAGACAGTGAGTCTATTCACTGCAAAGTAGGAGATGGCCAGACTCTCCTCTGAGAAACTGGAGATGGTGAGGTTTATTTATTTATTTATTTATTTATTTATTTATTTATTTTTTCTGTGAGAGGCTGGAGACTGTGTGTTTCTGCTCTGAGAGGCTGGAGATGGTGTGTTTGTTCTCTAAGAGTCTCAAGACGATGAGACCTCTGTCAGAGATCTTGGCCAGAGCAAATTGCTTGCTGGCATTGGGGTCGGAGGGGAGGTGAGGAAGAGTGAGGGTGAGCTGTGGTGTTATTGAAGTTGGTAGTCACAGCCATGAAAAAGATCTTTGCTGTAAAGAGCCAGAAGTGCCAGGTGCCCCTGAGCTCCTTCTGTGATAACATCTTCTTATAACATCAGTGCAAAATTCCAGTTGATAACTTCAGGAAGATTCACAAATCTTCCATCCAGAAAAAAAAGTACGGAAGCTGAAGCAGATCCTTATGCTCAAGAGAAAAAACTTGTATGAAACATACAATAAGAAGAGGTAACAGGAACTGCCAACTGGGGGCTGCAGTCAACAAGAGGAGCTGGGTGGATGTAAGAGAAACACCCCATCAGAGTTGGGAGGCTTTGTGGGAAGAAATAGCAAAAGAAACATCTGACAAGATTCAATATTTGGCAGAAAGAACATTTAAGAAGATTGCATGTGTGTCAGAAGAAACATCTGAGAAGACTGCATCGTCAGCAGAAGAAATATCAGACAAGATTGAACATTTGGCAGAAGACACATCAGATTAAATATTTGGCAGGAGAAAAACCTGACAATATTGAATGCTTGGGAAAAGAAACATCTGACATAATTGAATGTTTGGCAGAAGAAGGGCATCCGCCATTGCTGAGGCTTGAATAGGTAGTTTTATCCTCACAGTGTAAACAAAGCCACTGGGAACTTTGAACTGGACAGAGCCCACCACAGCTCAGCAAGGCCGCTAAGGCCAGACTACCAGATTTCTCCTCTCTGGGCAGGGCACCTCTGAAAAGAAAGGCAGCAGCCCCAGTCAGGGACTAATAGATAGAACCTCCATCTCCCTGGGACAGAACACCTGGGGAAAGGGTTGGCTGTGGGCACAACTTCAGCAAACTTAAACGTCCCTGCCTGATGACTCTGAAGAGCATTCAGTGAACCTCCCAGCTCAGCGTTCGAGCTCTGCTAAGGGTCAGACTGCCTCCTCAAGTGGGTCCCTGACCCCTGTGTATCCTGACTGGGAGATACCTCCCAGTAGGGTCTGACAGACACCTCATACAGGAGAGCTCTGGCTGGCATCTGGCATGTGCCCCTCTGGAACAAAGCTTCCAGAGAAAAGAACAGGCAGCAATCTTTTCTGTTCTGCAACCTCCACTGGTGATGCCCAGGAAAACAAGGTCTGGAGTGGATCTTCAGGAAACTCCAGCAGACCTGCAGCAGAGGGTCCTGACTGTTAGAAAGAAAACTAACAAACAGAAAGGAATAGCATGTCCACTCAGAGGCCCCATCTGAAGGTCACCAACATCAAAGACCAAAGGTAGGTAAATCAACAAAGATGGGGAGAAACCAGCACAAAAAGTCTGAAAATTCCAAAAGCCACAACATTTCTTCTCCTCCAAAAGATCACAACTCCAGCAAGGGAACAAAACTGGATGGAGAATGAGTTTAATGAATTGACAGAAGTAAGCTTCAGAAGGTGGGTAATAACAAACTCCTCCTAGCTAAAGGAGCATGTTCTAACCCAATGCAAGGAAGCTAAGAACCTTGATAAAAGGTCAGAAGAATTGCTAACTAGAATAACCAGTTTAGAGAAGAACACTAATGACCTGATGGAGCTGAAAAACACAGCATGAGAAATTTGTGAAGCATACACAAGTATCAATAGCTGAATTGATCAAGCGGAAGAAAGGATATCAGAGATTAAAGGCCAACTTAATGAAATAAACTGAGTTGTGGAGAATGGAACCAAGTTGGAAAACACTCTTCAGGAGATTATCCAGGAGAACTTCCCCAACCTAGCAAGACAGGCCAACATTCAGATTCAGATTCATGAAATACAAGGAATACCACAAACACACTCCTTGAGAAGAGCAACCCCAAGGCACATAATCATCAGATTCACCAAGGTTGAAGTGAAGGAAAAAAGGTTAAGTGTAGCCAGAGAGAAAAGTCAGGTTACCCACAAAGGAAAGCCCATCAGACTAACAGCAGATCTCTGCAGAAACCCTGCAAGCCAGAAGAGAATGGAGGCCAATATTCAACATTCTTAAAGAAAATAAATTTCAACCCAGAATTTCATATCCAGCCAAAGTAAGCTTCATAAGTGATGGAGAAATAAAATCCTTTACAGACAAGCAAATGCTCAGAGATGTTGTCACCAACAGGCCTGACTTACAAGAGTTCCTGGAGGAAGCACTAAACATGGAAAACAACAACTTGTACCAGCCACTGCAAAAACATACCAAATTGTAAAGATCATCAACACTATGAAGAAATTGCATCAACTAGTGGGCAAAATAACCAGCTAGCATCATAATGACAGGATAAAATTCACACATAACAATATTAACCTTAAATGTAAATGGGATAAATGCCCAAATTAAAAGACAAAGACTGGCAAATTGGATAGAGTCAAGACCCATCAGTGTGCTGTATTCAGGAGATCCATCTTACATACAAAGACACACATACGCTCAAAATAAAAGGACGGAGGAATATTTATCAAGCACAAGGAAAGCAAAAAAAAAGCAGGAGTTGCAATGCTAATCTCTGATAAAACAGACTTTAAACCAATAACGATCGAAAAAGACAAGGGCATTATGTAACAGTAAGGGGATCAATGCATCAAGAAGAACTAACTGTCCTAAATACATATGCACCCAATGCAGGAGGACCCAGATTCATAAAGCAAGTTGTTAGAGACCCACAAAGAGACTTAGACTCCCACACAATAACAATGGGAGACTTTAACACCCCACTGTCAATATTAGACAGATCAATGAGACAGAAAATTAACAAGGATATTCAGGACTTGAACTCAGCTCTGGATCAAGCAGACCTAAAAGACATCTACAAAACTCTCCACCTTAAATCAACAGAATATACATTCTTCTCAGCGCCTGATCGCACTTATTCTAAAGTTGACCACATAAGTGGAAGTAAAACACTCCTCAGCAAATGCAAAAGAACAGAAATCATAATAAACAGTCTCCCAGATCACAGTGCAATCAAATTAGAACTCAAGATTAAGAAACTCACTCAAAACCACACAACTACATGGAAACTGAACAATCTGCTCCTGAAGGACTATTGGGTAAATAACGAAATGAAGGCACAGATAAAAATGTCCTTTGAAATCAATGAGAACGAAGACCAGTGTACCAGAATTTCTGGGACACATTTAAAGCAGTGTGTAAAGGGAAATTTATAGCACTAAATGCCCACAAGAGAAAGCAGAAAAGATCTAAAATCGACACCCTAACCTCAAAATTAAAAGAACTAGAGAAGCAAGAGCAAACAAATTCAAAAGCTAGCAGAAGACAAGAAATAACTAAGATCAGAGCAGAACTGAAGGAGACAGAGACATGATAAACCCTTCAAAAAAATCAGTGAACCCAGGAGCTGCTTTTTTGAAAAGATCAACAAAATACAGCACTAGCCAGACTAATAAAGGAGAAAAAAGAGAAGAATCAAATAGATGAAATAAAAAAGGATAAAGGGGATATATCACTACTGATCCCACAGAAATACCAACCACCATCAGAGAATACTAGAAAACTCTCTATGCAAATAAACTAGAAAACCTAGGAGATATGAATAAATTCCTGGACACATACACCCTCCCAAGTCTAAACCAGGAAGAAGTTGAATCCCTGAATGAACCAATAATGAGATCTGAAATTGAGGCAGTAATGAATAGCCTACCAACCAAAAAAAGTCAAGGACCAGAAGGATTCACAGCCGAATTCTACCAGAGGTACAAAGAGGAGCTGGTACCATTCCTTCTGAACTATTCCAAACAATAGAAAAAGAGATAATCCTCCCTAACTCATTTTATGAGGCCAGCATCATCCTGATACCAAAACCTGGCAGACACACAACAAAAAAGAAAATTTCAGGCCAATATCTCTGATGAACATCGTTGGGAAAATCCTAAATAAAATACTGCAAAGCTAATCCAGTAGTGCATCAAAAAGCTTATCCACCACAATCAAGTTGGCTTCATTCCTGGGATGAAAGGTTGGCTCAACATATGAAAATGAATAAATGTAATCCATCATTATATGATAGAATCGATGACAAAAACCACATGATTATCTCAATAGATGCAGAAAAGTCCTTCAATAAAATTCAACACCCTTTCATGCTAAAAACTCTCAATAAACTAGGTGTTGATGGAATGTATCTCAAAATAATAAGAGCTATTTATGACAAATCCACAACCAATATCATACTGAATAGGCAAAAACTGGAAGCATTGCCTTTGAAAACCGGCATAAGACAAGGATGCCCTCTCTCACCACTCCTATTCAACATGGTGTTAGAAGTTCTGGCCAGAGCAATCAGGCAAGAGAAAGAAATAAAAGGTATTCAAATAGGAAAAGAGGAAGTCAAATTGTCTCTGTTTGCAGATGACATGATTGTATATTTAGAAAACTCCATCGTGTCAGCCCAAAATCTCCTTAAGCTGATAAGTAACTTCAGCAAAGTCTCAGGATACAAAATAAATGTTTTAAAATTACAAGCATTCCTATACACCAATAATAGACAAACAGAGATCGAAATCACGACCAAATTCCCATTCATAATTGCTACAAAGAGAATAAAATACCTAGGAATACCACTTACAAAGGATGTGAACAACCTCTTCAAGGAGAACTACAAACCACTGCTCAAGGAAATAAGAGAGGACACAAACAAATGGAAAAACATTCTATGCTTATGGATAGGAAGAATCAATATTGTGAAAATGGCCATACTGCCCAAAGTAATGTATAGATTCAATGCTGTCCCCATCAAGCTACCATTGACTTTCTTCACCGAATTGAAAAAAAATTACTTTAAACTTCATATGGAACCAAAAAAGAGCCCACATAGCCAAGATAATCCTAAGCAAAAAGAACAAAGCTGGAGGCATCATGCTACCTGACTTCAAACTATACTACAAGGCTACAGTAACCAAAACAGTATGGTACTGGTACCAAAACAGATATATAGACCAATGAAACAGGACAGAGGCCTCAGAAATAACATCACACATCTACAACCATTTGATCTTTGACAAAACTGACACAAACAAGCAATGGGGAAAGGATTCCCTATTTAATAAATGGTACTGAGAAAACTGGCTAGCCATATGCAGAAAACTGAAACTGGACCCCTTCTTTACACCTTATAAAAAATTAACTCGAGATGGATTAAAAACTTAAACATATGACCTAAAACCACAAAAATCCTTGAAGAAAACCTAGGCAATACCATTCAGGACATTGGCATGGCCAAAGACTTCATGTCTAAAACACCAAAAGCAACGGCAACAAAAACCAAAATTGAAAAATGGGATCTAATTAAACTAAAGAGCTTCTGCACAGCAAAAGAAACTATCATCAGAGTGAACAGGAAACCTACAGAATGGGAGCAAATTTTGCAATCTACCCATCTGACAAAGGGCTATTGAAACACTGCTCTCCATTATGCTGCCTATAATGAAAATGTGTTAATGGCAGTAAGACTATTTTCATACAATGCAAACATTGAAGTGAAAGGAAAATGTTAGAGATCAACCAATGTTACCTTCAAAATATTTTTCTTAATATTGACATATGAAAGAAACAGTTATTCATATTTGGAAGCCCAAACATTACCTAAATGAAAACATTTTGAAATAACTTAATTTCAAAGATTTTACTTTAAAGATTAATATTTTTAAACAAGTATTAGAGAGCATGGCTTTCTTTTATGAATTATATAAAATATTTAAATTTGTTAAAGGTAAAACATTTTTTCAAATATTTTTTACCACTCAATTTTTTTCTTTCAATTTAGTTTAAAACAACACAGGAAATAAAAATTTGCCTGCATAAAGAGAGTCAAAATGTAAATATTTTGATATTCATTATTAATTAAATACATTGTTTGGCAATTTATGAAAATTTTTAGTGTGTGTGCCCTTTGACCTAGAAATTCTTTACCCAGGAATTTATTCTAAGAAGATAATCACAAAAGTTTACAAACATGAATAGAAAAGAAGAGTCACTGCAGAGGAGTCACTTGTAAAAGTGAAAAATAGCAACAGCCCAAATGTCATGAATAGGGAATTAATATATGGTACATCTATGCAAAAATACTGTGCAGCTATTAAGGCTATAAACCCAAAGTTTCTGACACGGATAACAACAGACTAGAGAGTGAAAGCAATCAGGTTATAAAGCATCAGCATAAAAGATCTATTTATACAGATTAATTTTTTGAGTGCATACATAGGGATATATAAAATATATCTAGTTAAATGCCAAAGTGGTTATCTTCACTTAAGTAAAATTTAGGGACAATTTTACATTTCTTTTATATATATTTTCTTATATTGACCAGCTTTCTTAAAAAGTATGTGGTATTTTTATGATCATAAAGGAGCAACAGAGGATCTCTCCCACATTCCTCATTCACAGAAGGTCTGTATTACATATTTCACATAGTGAATTTCTTTACAAAATTAATATTGAAGAAAAGGTTTCATGGCTTCAAAATAACAACCTGAAAGCTACTCTTCTAAATTAGATTCTGGGCAACTAAAATTTTAGACACCTAAACAATAGCAGGCACTTACGGCTTGAGAGCTTTAGTTTGAGAAAAATGGCTGAACAACTTTTTGTCTTCACCCTTGAAATCTGGACCATTGAACAATTTTAAATATTTTTTTTTTGGTAGAGATGGGGTCTCACCATGTTGCCCAGGTTAGTCTTGGATCCCAGGGCTCGAGAGATCCTCCCGTTTCAGTCTCCCCAAGTGCTGAGATTACAGGCATGAGCCATGGTGCCTGGCCTTTTAAAATGACTTAATGGAGCCAATCTAATTCACTTCAGAGTTGGATTCTCAAGTAAGTGCATTTCAAATGCACTTTCTCACCTATGGAAAGCTCTTCACAGCTCATGACCATTTGGCTAACTTCTACATTTTATATCAGATGTCTTCTCCTCTGTAAACTGCAAGTTCACTGTTAGATTAGCTCATCTCAGCTTTTTTGCTGCATATAGCACGTCTCTCATTAAACTAAAACATTAGTGCCTGATCCCTCCAGCTGTCAGCTCTGCAGAAGCAGGGGCCCACACTGCTTGGGGAATGCTGAAAAGTTTGCCAAAGTCTATGACTTATCAGCACCATCTACGTGGTGTGTTTTCATTAAAATAAATTACCTAATCAGTCAACAGTATCCAGTCACCTGGACACAGAAGAGGAGAAGTAATCACTGCAAGGTGCATAACCCAGAAAGCAATGATCGGGAACCAGTTATTTCTCAAGTCAAGGCTATGATCCTAACATGTTACATGAATTTCAAAATTTAATAAACATTTTAAGTAGTCTTACAGAATTTAGGTAAATAGATTTCATACTAACTAGCCCAAAAAAGCATGACCTAAACACGTACACACACCCTTTCAAAATTCATTTTTTGTAAAACACTACTACTTAATTTCACCCTAATTTTTTTTTTGAGATGGAGTATCACTCTGTTGCCCAAGCTGAAGTGCAGTGGCACTATCTCGCCTCACCACAACCTCCACCTCCCAGGTTCAAGCGATTCTTCTGCCTCAGCCTCCCAAGTAGCTGGGACTACAGGCGTGCACCACCATGCCTAATTTTTGTATTTTTAGTAGAGATGAGGTTTTACTATGTTGGCCAGGCTGGTCTCGATCTCTTGACCTCACCTCATGATCCACCCTCTTCAGCCTCTCAAAGTGCTGGGATTACAGGCGTAAGCTACCATGCCCATCTCACACTGATTTTTAAACATTGCTCCAGTACTTAATTAGAAACAATACTTTGTGGTTTCTCAGTCTCTGTCTCATACTGTCTCACTGATTTCCACATCATTCTGTGAAGTAGGCCAGGAAGGTAGTATTATATGTGATGTACGTTTACCAAAAAAGTATAAAAACATCCATTCTCCTAAGTACAAGAATCTTTGAGTTTCGTTAACTTTTTAAATATTCACTTGATGAAAAAGCAGTAAAGAAGGAATAAAAGAATTAAAAAATACATGAAACGTTAAAAATAAAAAGGAAAATAGAAGTAAATCCAAGCATATCATAGTAACATTAAATGTGAATGGATTAAACAATACAATCAAAAGGCAGAGATTGTCAGACTGATAAGAAAAATGTGATCCAACTATATATATTATTTATAAGAGACACACAATAGATTCAAAGATATACATGGGTTGAACATAAAAGGTGCAGATAGTAGCCAAGACAGCTAAAGTGGTGATATGGTTTGAATGTGTTCCCCAAAAGTTCATGTGTTGAAAACTTTGTCCCCCAAGGTAGCAGTGTTGAGAGGTAGAACCTTTGCGAAGTGACTGGTAGAACCTTTGGGAAGTGACTAGTAGAAACTTTGAGAGGGAGAACTTTTGAGAGGTAGAACCTTTGGGAGGCCAAGCCCTTATGAATGGATTAATTCATTCCTGGTTGTCTCTTGTGAGGCCACCACCAAGTAATACCCAGCACTACCCTGAGACTCTGTAGAGTCCCCACCAGGGAAAAGATCCTCACCAGATAAGCCCTGTAACCTTGGACTTCCCAGCCATCAGAGCTGTAAGAAATAAATTTATTTATAAATCACTTAGTCTCAGGTATTCAGTTATAGCAACAGAAAACAGAGTAAGTTAATATAGTCAATCTTATAAATATGTTTAAATATAAATATATAACACATATATATTTATATTACCATAAAAATACATGATAAATATGTATATATATATAAAGGCTAAGCTACTCTAGCCCTTAAAAAACCAAGCACCCCAAATCAAAAAGTGCCTCCTGGATTCGTTTTGCCATTAATTGCTCACAGTGAATCAAGAACTGGACAAAATCAGTTTCAATGCCTGTCACTGATATCACCTATGCATTTTGTAGGTAAAATCTAGGTTTGTTCTCAACAAATGCAAAAGATCTGAAATCATAACAAAAAGTCTCTTGAACCACATCACAATCTAATTAGAAATTAAGACTAAGAAATTCACTCAAAACTGCATCATTACGTGAAAACTGAATAACCTGCTCTTGAGTGAACATAGGGTAAATACTGAAATTAAGGAAGAATGCAAGAAGTTCTTTGAAACTAATGAGAACAAAGATGCAACCTACCAGAATCTCTGGGACACAGCTAAGGTAGTGTAAAGAGGGAAATTTATAGCCCACAAAGAGGGAAATGAAATGCCCACATCAAAAAGCTAGAAAGATCTCGAGTCAACAACTTAACATCACAACTAAAAGAGCTAGAGAACCAAGGGTGAACAAATCCTAATGCTAGCAGAAGACAAGAAACCAAAATCAGAGCTGAACTGAAGAAGATAATGACATAAAAAATCTTTCAAAAGATAAAAAAATCCAGGAGATACTTTCTCGAAAAAGTTAATAAAATAGACAGACTTGCTAGCTAGTCTAATAAAGAATAAAAGAGATAAGATTTGAATAAACACAATCAAAAACAAAGGGGATATTAACACTTACCCCCAAAAAATGCAAACAATGATCAGAGAATATTATGAACACCTCTTTGCACATGAACTAAAAAATCTAAAAGAAATGGATACATTCCTGGACATATACACCCTTCCAAGGCTGAACAGAAAGAAATTAAATCCTTTAATGGACCAAAAACAAGCTCTAAAATTGAGGAAGTAATAAATAGCCTACTAAGTAAAAAAAGCCCAGGAATAGATGAATTCACAGCTGAATTCTATCAGTTGTACAAAGAAGAGCTGGCATCATACCTACTGAAAGTATTCCAAACAATTGAGGAGGAGAAAAATCCTCCTTAACTCATCATCCTGATACCAAAACCTGGCAGAGATAACAAAAAGAAAAAAGAAAACTTCGGCTAGTATCCTTGATGAATGTCAATGCAAACATTCTCAACAAAATACTGGCAAACTGAATCTAGCAGAACGTCAAAAAGCTTATCCACCAAAAGCAAGTAGGCTTTATCCCTGAGATGCAACAACAGTCAAGCTAAGAGCCAAATCAGGAATGAACTCACATTCACAATTGCCACCAAAAGAATAAGATACCTAGGAATACAGCTAACTAGGGAGGTGAAAGGTATCTGCAAGGAAAACTACAAGGCACTGCTCAAAGAAATCAAAGATGACAAAAACAAATGGAAAAATATTCCATGCTCATGCATAGGAAGAATCAATATCATTAAAATGGCCATACTGCCAAAAGCAATTTATAGATTCAATGCTTTTACTATTAAACTACCATTGAGACTCTTCACTGAACTAGAAAAAAATATTTTAAAATCTATATAGAACCAAAAAAGAGCCCAAATAGTCAAGCCAATCCTAACCAAAAAGAACAAAGCTGAAGGCATCATGCTGCCTGACTTCAAACTACACTACAGGGCTACAGTAACCAAAGCATAGTACTGGTACAAAAACAGAAACACAGGCCAATGGAACAAAATAGAGAACTCAGAAATAAGTACACATACCTACAACTATCTGATCTTTGCCAAACCTGACAAAAACAAGCAATGGGGAAAGGATTCCCTATTCAATAAATGTTGCTGGGATAACTGGCTGACCATATGCAGAAGATTGAAACTAGACCCCTTCCTTACATCATATACAAAAATTAACTCAAAATAGATTAAAGACTTATTGTAAAACCCCAAACTATAAAAACACTGGAATTCAAGACCTTCAAATTATGAAATCGCATGTATCTCTCATTGTCTTCTAAACAGATTTTAGTATAATGGAATTGATCAGAAAAGGAATATACATTTTAAAAATGTAATGCTTACCACCAAATTGTCCATTTGAAAGGCCATCAGCAACTTTAAGCAGCAGTATAATATCACTGTTTTTCATCTTCACAAAATTTGTGGACAGAAAACAATATTTTATACCTCTTTTAAATTCCTTCTCTTACCAAGAACACAAAATATTTTTTCCTATGAGCATAGGTCACTTGCAGATCTGAAAGAACTGCTTTGCTCAATGTTAAATTAGAGTCTTTTTTGTTTCAGGCTGATTTGAAATAATTCTCTGTAAAATGAAAATCCATATTTAATCTAATATGTATACACATATGGTAAATATTTTATGTTACCTTATGTTTTGTTATTTTTTGTTATTATAGGGTGATTTAATTTTATTTTGCTAGATCAACCTTCAGAAGGCTTGCTTGTGAGCTTCTTAGACAGGTTTTTGTCAACACAAAAATGCTTCTGTATAAATAAGGCATTTGTGTTTTCTTCTGATGTTTCTCTCATCTTACATATTTAAAATTTTCAGTCTATATTGTATGAGGAACTTATTTTTGTGGCATAAAAATCTAGCTAGTTTCCTCCAAAAAGCAGGCCTTTCATTAATGAAAATAATTCATCTTTTCCTACTAGTACAAAGTATCACCATTATCAAGTTCTGAATTCTTACATATATTTGAGTGTCCCTGGATTTTCTATTCTCTTGTATTCATTTATCTATCTTTTCAGCTGTTAGCAAACTATTTGTGGAAATCAATAGCACATTTGATATCTAGAAAGGTAAGACTTTTTTAACCGTTACAAAAATTTTCTTAATGTCATCACAATAGTGAAAGCATGTGTAATTCAAAAACGTTAAAAATTTTGATAGCTTTATTTGGTTTATGTAAAATTGATAAAGAGCTCACATCTTGAGAAAAATGAGTCTTCTTATTCAAGAACATGAACCATCTTCCCACTTCAAAGTGTCCTTCTAAGCTCCCTCAGTAAAGAACATATTTATGTAGGCATTCATTAATATAAAATAAATATTGGATTTTAGCCAAAGAATTTTTAGCCCAGAAGGTGATATATTATGGGAATTATTTCTTTCATTACGTTCCTTTCTATAATGTATCTAATATTATCTTTTAAAATGTGTACATTAAAAATAAAACACAGTATATACTTAATTTTGTTATACCGCTTTAAAATTCTCTCTGAAGTGCTCTGTAAGAGGAACTGTGGGTGGAGAAACCAGCTAAAGTTTTGGGTTTCTTTTGCTGCTCATAAAGATGACTTGGGCCCTCCGCCTCCAAGGCGTCCACATCTCAGGCGCTGCGGAGTCTGCCAGGGAAGAAAGCCCAGCGCCCTGGGGACCAGGACGGCCCGCCCCACACACTCCATTCTTTCCAAGCCTCCCCTCGCCCCCACTCCCCAAGCCCCCAGCTCTGAAGGGGGTGCTTCTCCCCACCTGCCCACCTCCTCCAGTAGCCCCCAGCCCACAGCCCGCAGTTCCCGACACATGTTCTTCTTGTAGGTTTCAGACTGGCCTTTTCTCTTGAGCAGGAGGCTCCGCTGCAGCTTCCACGCGTTCCCCTGGACGCAGCTTTGTGGATATTCCAGATCCTCATCTGGGGTCTGGTACCAGGGGTCAGAAAAGATGCGGTTATTCCAGGAGCTCAGGGGCACCTGGCCCTTCTGGCTCTCCACAGCCAAGATCTTCTTCATGGCCCGGCTATCGGCTTCAGAGACGCCACAACTAGCCCTCGCCCTTCCCGCCGCCCAGCCCCCACCCTGACCAGCACCATAAAGCAAGACGGTCTGGCCCAGACCTCAGACAGGGACCCTCCAGCTTCTCTGAGAGGGACGTCTCCAAACTCTCGGAGAAGAAATATACGGAGCAGAGCCATTGGGCCCCAGCGCGCACTGGCACCTCGGAAGGTAATGGCCCCGCGCGTGGCCACAAACTGCGCGTGGCCAGAAACCGCCCTGAGTCGCGCTCTCGTGGGCACAGCATGCAGGTGGCAGCTGCAGCTGAGGCGCCGACCACCAAACTGAGCTCATGGTGCGGTCTGCCCCAGGCCCCAGGTGACTGCGCAGCCCCAGTCCACTGCTCCTGCTCGACCCGCGCCCAAAGTTGGGGGTCCCTGGAGCTGGGCACTCTGCAGCCACCAGGATGGGACTGGGCACTGGTTTCCACCCTCCTGCAGCTGCGGTTGCAACTGCGTGACTTAGGCGCCACGGCAGCGTCTGGCCCTGTGGACCGCGATAGTAGTCACGGAAATAGCCCGGGTTGCCCCAGTTGCTGACCCCGCCATATTCAGGTGGCGGCTGCAGCTGAACCCATGGCAGAGGCTGGCAGGAATGGACCCAGATGGCCTGAGGGTCGCCGAGTGCTCAGCGCCCCAACCTAGGGTCCGCTCTTTCTTGGCCCCCCGCCCATATTGCTAGGTCGCGGGTGCTGGGCTTTGAGCAGCCACAGGAATGGGGCTGAACGCCAGTTCTAGCCCTGCTGCAGCTGCGAGGCCGACCGCCTGAATTAGGCGCCTAGAAGGCATCTGGCCCTGCGGTCCCTGCAGCTGGTGATGCCTGCAAGGTCAGGGGTTGCCAGCTTTGCGGCTGTCCGCCATGTGCAGGTGGCTGCTGCAAATGACCCCACGGCGGTGTCTGGCATGGCTGGTCCCAGATGGCCTGAAGGAGGCCGAGTGCTCAGCCCTCCCACAATAAGTTCGGCTCTTTCTTGGCCCGCGCCCCAAGCATGGGGTCACGAGCGTTGGGCACTGCTCAGCCGCTGGGTTGGGGCTCAGCAGTCGGTTCCCGCCCTCCTGCAGCTATTGGGCCGACCGCCTGACAGGCAGGGTCGGGGGTTGCCACCGCTGCTGCCGCAGTACCTGCTCTTCTTTGGCCGGTGCAGAAGCGCGGACTCGCAGGCCGTGGGCATTGTGCAGCCATGGGGTTTGGCTGAGCGCCGATTCCCGCCCTCCTGCGGCTACGGGGCTGACTGCCTAACCGAGGGGTCATGGCAGCGTATGGTCCTGGAGTCTATGCTGCTGGTGGCTGCTGGCCGAGTTGGGGGTTGCCACTCCCGCGGCCCCGTGCCATGTGCAGGTGGTAACTGCACATAAGTTCAGGGCGGAGGCTGGCAGGGCTAGCCCAGACGTCCTGAGTTTCGCCAAGTTCACTGCCCTCACACCGTGGGATCCGCTCTTCCTTGGCCCCAGTCCAGAGCTCTGGGCCCAGGGCGCTGGACTCTTTGCAGCCATCGCGATGGGGATGAGGGCCGGTTCCCGCCCTCCTGCAGCTGCGGAACAGACTACCCAAATCAGGCACAGTGGCGGTGTCTGACCTTGGGGACCGCGCTGCTAGTGGGGCGGGCAAGGTCGGGATTTGCCACAGGTGCTGCCGTGGGGCATGTGCAGATGGCAGCAATAGCTGAGCCCACGGTGGAAGCTGGCAGGGCTGGTCCCAGACCTCCTGAGAGTCGCCAAGTGCACCACCCTCCCGCCCTAGGGCTCGCTCTTCCATAGCTCGCGCCCTGAGCGCGTGGTCGCGGGCGCTGGGTACTATGCAGCCGCCAGGAAGGGGCTGAACGGCCACCCTGCTGCAGCTGTGCTGCGGGCTTCGGCGCGTGGCTGCCTGGCCGCGGGGTCCCCGTGCTGGTGGTGGCAGCAGGGTCGGCAGTTGCCTCCACTACTACAGCGCACTATGTGCAGGTGACAGCTACAGCTGAGCCTAAGGCAAAGGATGACAGGGCTGGCCCCAGAGGGCCTCAGGGTCTCCGAGTGCACCGCCCTCCCACCCAAGGGTCCACTTTTTCTTGATTCGCGCCCAGAGCACGGAGTCGTGGGCGCTGGGCACTCTGAAGCCCCGGGGTTGGGCTGAGAGCAGGTTCCCTCACTCCTGCAGATGCGGGAGTGGGGGCCGCCTAAACTGGGCGTCTTCACAGAGTCTGGCCCTGGGGTCCGCGCTGCTGGTGGCGCCGGCAGGGCCGTGGGTTGCCACTGCGGCTGGAGCGCACCATGTGCAGGTGGCAGCTGCAGCTGAGCCCACCATAGTGGCTGGCCGGGCTTGTCCCCGAGTACAGTCAAGTGCACCCAAGGGTCGCCGAGCGTACTGCCCTCCCTCCTCCCTAGGGTCCACTCTGCCTTGGCCTGCGCTTACAGAGCTAGGTAGTGGGCGCTGGGCACTGTGCAGCAGCCGCCTGGATGGGGCTGAGAGGCCTGTTACCTCCTTCCTGCAGCTGCTGGGCGGACTGCCTGATTTAGGCTCAGCGGCCTCCTCTGGCCCTGCGGTCCTCCCTGCTGGCTGCACAAAGGGTTGAGGGTTGCCACTGCTGATTTTGGGCGCCATGTGCAGGTGTTAGCTACAGTTGAGGCCACAGCGGAGGCTGTCAGGGATGGGCACAGATGACTTGAAGGTCGCAGAGTGCAGCGCCTTCCCGCACTAGGGTCTGCTCTTCCTTGGCCCAGGCCCAGAGCACAGTGTCCCCGGCGCTGGGCACTCTGCAGCCACCTGGAAGGGGCTTGGTGGCCGGTTCCCGCCCTCCTGCAGTTGTGGGGCCGACAGCCTGACTTAGGCGCCACAGAGGTGTCTGGCCCTCGGGTTCCTGCTGCTTGTGATGGTGGGCAGGGTCAGGTTAGCCATCGCTACTGCTGTGCGTCATATGCAGGTGGCAGCTGCAGCTGAACCCACTTCGGATGCTGGCAGGGCTGGTCCCAGATGTCCAGAGGATCACTGAGTGCTTTGCCCTCCCACCCTAGGGTCTGTTCTTTCTTAGCCGGTGCCCAGAGTGCAGGGTCCTCAGAGCTGGGCATTGTGCAGCCGCCAGGATGAGGCTGAGCATCTGGTACCTGCCCTTCTTTAGCTGTGGGGCCAAAAGTCTAAATTAGTCGCTGTGGCGACGTCTGGCCCTGGGGTACTCGCTGCTGGTGGCCCTGGCAGTGTTGAGTGTTGCCCCCGCTGCTGCCAGGCGCCATGTGCAGCTGCAGGCGCCATGTGCAGGCGCCATGTGCAGCAGGTGGCAGCTGCAGCTAAGCCCAAGGTGGAGGCTGGCAGGGCAGGTCCCAGAGGGTCTGAGGGTCGCTGAGTGCCCTGGTCTCCCACCCTAGGGCCTGATCTCCCTTGGCCCCTGCGCCAGAGCCCTGGGTCTCAGGCACTGTGAGCGGTGAAGCAGCTGGGATGGTAATAAGCAACAGTTTCCTGCCCTCCTGCAGCTGCAGGGATGACTTAGACTGTGCAGCTGCGTCTGGCCCAGAAGTCTGCACAGCTGGAGCCCCGACGGGAAGAGAGGCATTTGGGATGGTCTGGCCACCACTGCCCATGAGCAAGGTGTAGGTGGCAGTTGTAGCTCAGGCACTGGTGCGGGATGGCAGGGCTTCCCTTGAGCCTCAAGTGTGCCTGCTGCCAGGCCTCAGGGTCTACTCGTCCTTGACCTATGTCTGGAGTGGGTCCCTGGCACTGGGTAATCTGCAGCCAATGGGGATAGGTCTGAGCTGTGGTCTCTGCCTTGTGCTGCCGGCCAGTCAACCACTTGTCTTGGCGCCACCATGGAGTCTTGCCATGGAGTCCCTGCTTCTCGGGAGCGCTCAAACTAAAGTAACATACATGTTAGTAACACACATGTAGCTTAAAGTACATGTGTGTTACTTTAGTTTCAGCTTGAACTTGATGGAATTCAGATTGTTGATCCTGTTTCCTGACAAAGATCAAAGAGAGAGAAAATTTCTTATTTGAGCCAAAATTAGCACTCACCTCACCTGATTTTCCAGGTCAGTGTCAGTGTGGAAGCTGCACAACAAGAGGAAGGCCAAGACGTGGCTTTTAGGAAGCTGGGCAGAAAGTGAGCTGATTATAGGAGAATTCTTTTTTGGAATTTTATATGCCATTGTTCTTCCTATTTTTGGCCACATTTATCCTAGCTCATATTTTCCAAACCTTCCTTTTGCTTTACCTCAGACATTTAAACAACATTTCAGCTCAGTTGGGCTAAGATTCACAATGCTACCTCTTGTCCAGAAAGAATGACAATTGCCACCTACCTGCTTGGAGGTGTGAAAGAATGTTTATAAAGCAGTTAGGAGATCTCCAGGGAAAGGCCAACTTAATATATAAAGTGTGATTTTCTTACTAATGGGTGAGATTCTCACCTTCAGGAAGTCTGTGAATTTTCTCTGCAGTGATGCAGGATGAAGGGAAAAACAAGGTGCCTTCAGAAATATGGCATGTGTGAAATTAAACTGGTTATGAAGTCAGCCCAGTTTCAGGAGTTCTTTTCCTTTTCCCAGCTGGATGTGAAAATCCCGGAAAGACTCCAAGGGCTGCCTCTGTGCTGAGAAGTGACTTTCTTTTCTTCTCTTTTTTTTTTAAATTTTATTATTATTATACTCTAAGTTTTAGGGTACATGTGCACAACGTGAAGGCTTGTTACATATGTATACATGTGCCATGTTGGTGTGCTGCACCCATTAACTCGTCATTTAGCGTTAGGTATATCTCCTAATGCTATCCCTCCCCCCTCCCCCACCCCACAACAGGCCCCGGTGTGAGAAGTGACTTTCTAATGAAAGACTGCTATGCAGGGCAGATCTCTGAAAGGTCTTTGATGTTAGAGGGTTGTTACTGAAAGATGTCCTTATAGTCTGCAGAACCCACTCTACCTGAAGACCAGCATCCATTAAAAGCAATGACCAGCAGTGCTGAGCTGAGGATGGAGTTGGAGTGTGAAATCCAAGGTAACCTTGGGCTGAGGAATTTTCCCTCACCCATATCGAAAGAGGAATCTGAAAGCTCTACCAACCAACATGTGTATCAGTTACCATTTGTTTCTTTCTTTTTTTAATACAAATGATGTGAGTTAGAAGACATTATAGCTAACCTTACTAGGGAGCTAGTAAGATTCTGTTGGGATGAGCCATAGCTTGTGGCTTCGTCCATATGTGCTGTTTCTAGCAGAGAGGCATCCTTACCTGGCTCCACTGGTGGTGGTACAGCAGGACTCTCTGCCCAGCACTGTCAGGCTTAGGTTAAGTATGAGCTGATTCTTCTTATTAATAAAGCTTGTCTCATCACTCAATATAGAGATCTTGCTACCAGAGGTTCTCACCCTCAGCACTTCCATAGACTTTCTTTTCTTTTCTTGAAAATGTGTTGTATTTTTAAATGTCCTACTTTTTAAAATTAAACAGAAGCAATAATCATAGCTTCATCTTTTTGGGAGGAAGATTTAAGTCACTATTTTGGGCATAAACTAATGAACTGTGCTGAAATCTAGACACATCCTCAATGGCTTGTGGTATACGGGAATATCTGCCCTTAGATTAGTCCTGGACTATTTGACTTCCATTTGTGACATTTGCTTGCTAATATTCTGACTTTTTCCTAATGGTTGTCCTTTTTACTGCTATCAGTGCTTGCCTCTAATGTCTCGTTTCACAGTGCTATGAACTGAAAAGCAAGATGATGTGGCTTGTTAGACTTGTGTGCAAATTAGGAGTCCAAAAGCTCTGTCCGAGGAGGACTTGAGGGCTAGGGCACTTCAATAGGAGGAGAGAGAGAATACATGGATAAACTTGCGGACAGTCACTTCAGGCACCTAGAAACCTCTACCACTTAGGTTTTATTATGGCCTTATTTATAGCTAGAAATTCCTTGTCTAAGACTCAAAAGAGATAAACATTAAGCTACTCCCTATACTCACAAATCTCTAACCAAAGATGAAAGCATATTCTTAGTTTGATCAAGACAATGAAGAACTATAAGGCTGATGTCAGAGATCCATGTTTTGGTTGTAGCACAGCTGTGTAATTAATAGGTTTACAATGGACTTTGATACTATTTCTTTTTGGGGTTGGGGCAATGCTATGTCATTGTAAGCCACACAGTCCAGCAACTTCTAGAGGTTAGAGAAAGTGGGAAACCCCACAGTGGGCAAAAATCGAGTAGTAAGGCCTTGGACATGGGAGGGAGAGCTCACAGACACAAGGACTGCATGCTTGCTGGGTGCTGTTCACATGCTGGTACTGTAATGGGGCAGAGAGCTCTGGTAACTCCTGCCTGGGTGGGAGACACAGATGCCTTTATCAGAACACAGCGTATGCCATGATGACCACCGGTAGCCCACAGAGCCCTAAGGGTGCAGCAATGGAAGCAGGGAGCAGTGACTCCCTATCCCAGGCCTTGGGTCCTGGTTCCCTGGATCCCTGGGGGTGGAGGGGATAGCACTGTTGCAAGGGTCTACTGCACACAAGCATGCTTGCAAGGTTTAGAAACAAATGTCTTGACAACTGCTCAAATCTATGTTGGACATGTGATTTCTGTTTGAAAGTATTAATAAAACTAAAGCAGAGTTTGTTTTTGTTTTTATCATTGTGTGTTTTTCAGTTGCTGGCTATTGAAAGGACAACTGCCACAATGTAGCAGATCTCAAACTTTTAAAAATAATTGCCAAACCTACAAGATGCTGTGTGAAGGGGCTGTAGTGGGGATGTACATACAGGGTGGAGAGGCTGTAGTAAGCATGTAGATTCCAATTGAAGAGGCTGTACTGGGGGTGTAGATATGGCATGGAGGGGCTTTAATGAGAATGTAGACATGGGGTGGACAGGCTATAGTCTGGGTGTAGGTATGAGGTTGAGGGGCTATAAGGGGGATTAGATATGAGGTGAAGGGCTGTAGGGGGGTGTAGATATGGGGTGGAGGGGCTGTAATAGATGAGAATGTGAATGAAGGAGGTAGGGGGCTGCATGCACAGCAGGGGTGCAGAAGAGCAGCCCTGTTGGCTTGGGTGCCTGTGAGGTGGCAGGGATGTTTTCCCAGACTTTCTTAAAGGCAGAAGAGCAGCTGCAGGTGAAAGCATAGGGACCACAGATGTTCACTATTCTAAGAACGATAACCGAAGAGAAAAGCCATATGGGAAGAGTTTCTAGGGTGAGAGGGGCTTGAGTCTGTTTCTGGGCCCCAAGGAAGGAGCTGGAAGCTGGAAGAGGTTGATGGGAAGGAAGACAGGGGGCTGTGAGCTGTGGAGACCCTGAGTCTCTTTGTCCTGTGTCACTGATGGAATTGTCAGCAAACTTATAAAGATCAGTTCAATGCATGCTTGTGTACAATCCCTTTTCTTGGGAACTTTCAGCTGTTTGTTAATTATTACTTAAAATCTGAAAACTGGTACTCACATCAGTGCCCACATATTCCAGGTTCTAGCTTGCAAACGCTTGGATGAGGTTTGCTTCACCAGCACCCCAGGCTTGCACCTGGAGAGCATCACTGGAATTTCCTGGGGCTTCTTAGAAAATCAGCCTCCTTAGGCCTGCTGAGCCAAAATCTTCAGTAAGAGCCCAGGCGACAGTGGGCATAGGGAAGCTTGAGAAGCACTGCTCAGGATCAGAAATTCTCAAAGTGCAGCCTCTGGGCCAGCAGCACCCGCAGCACCCAGAAGTTGTTAGAAATGCACAGTCCTGGCCTCCACACCTTCCCTACAGAGTTGTGGTTCTCCAGGTGGAGGGCATCAGCACCACCTATTAAGGTTATAATAGGCATCAGCACCACCTATTAAGCTTAATAGCCCACACCTATTAAGCTCCCGAAGAGTTTCTGATTCTACAGATCTGGGATAAGTCCCAAGATTTTGCATTTCTTACGTGTTTCCTAGTAATGCTGGCCTTGCTGGTTAGGAGCCACACTGAGAACCAGTGCCTGGAGGACAGCCTGGGTCAAGTGCTTCTGACTCTTATCCTTGATGAAATAGACACTTAGGGTGCCGAAGGTCTGAGTCCAGAGCAAATACTTTCTAAATTTGGATTTTTGGAGGTAACATGAAAAATCTTTCATTAAACATTTCAGTAAATGTTTCACCATCATATGGGTTTTAGAAGTAGTCATGAGTTGGCCAAGTGCAGTGGTCACGTCTGTAGTCCCAGAACTTTGGGAGACCAAGGTAGCAGAATCACTCGAGCCCAGGAAGTTGAGGCTGCAGTGAGCTGTGGTCATGCCACTACACTTCTGCCTGGGTGACACAGCGAGACCCTGACTCAAAACAAAACAAAAAACAAAAAAATAGAAGTATAGGTGCCTGAGTTATAGGTGCCTGAGTCCTGGGTTCTCTGGTGCTGCTCCCCAGGTCTCAGAACCAGCTTTCAGCAGGTGTCAACATGGTTGTAGGTAGCTTCCTGACATGTATGACTGATCATTTATTCTAGTGGAGACTGGTTGAGGGCCCAATTTTCTCTCCACTTAGAGCCTGAAAGACGAGAGCATTTGACTGCAAGAGAAGCAACATTAAGAGCAGAAACCAAGTCAGTGATTTCCTTTCTTGTTCTGGTGTGAAAGTTGCCAATGTGTTTTTGGCAGCTCCTTGGTTTTGATCTTTCAGTTTGTGTTAAACAGTCAAGATCAGCATGGACTTCCCCACTTTCCTTTTTAGTTACACTATCAACAACTCTGCTGCCACAGACAGGGCTGTTCAGGAGGGCCCTCTGTGAGAGTGCATAGGCAGGAGTGTGTGTGTTCGTGTGTGCATGCATGTGCATGCATGTTCATGTGCATGTATGCATGTGCATGCATGTTCATGTGCATGTATGCATGTGTGAAAGTGTTTTCATGTGCATGTGTTTACATGTGTGTACTAGACTTTAAGGCCACACTGTCTATAGCCCAGGGGAAGTCTCTTCACTTACACCAAAAATGAAAGTGGCCGTGATGGTTTGCCTGTTTAAAGCTCCCTCATACATATCTGATGAACTACTTTGTGTAAAGAGAATAGGACTTTTTGATGGAGATAGCACTTGGGACGGCAGCAGGTACCCAGCCCCAGCTTATCCTGATCTGACCTCATGGGAAATGTAAGCCATCTTGCCCTGTGAAGGCAGAAGGCTCTTTTTAAGTCCAACCATCTTTAATAATGAACTGACAGGGAGAGCTCTGGCTTCAGAGTTCTCAGCCAACTCTGATAATAATAGTTGTGTGATTTGGAGGCAAAGTGGATGGCCCAACCCCCTCTTTGTTCCCACGTCTGCAAAATGGGGGTCACAGCACCTACTTCTCAGAGTAACTGTAAGGATTAAATGAGATGAAATGGCCTGTGCCATTTGGTGGTTTATTCAGGCCATTTGACTTAGTACCTTCTGATTCTCCGAAATAGTTTTGCCTGGGTGCCTATCCTTTCATATAAGCAGCCTTTAGAAGGAACACAGAGAGCTGTCCTTTGAACCTGCCAGGCACACTTCCATCCCATGACCTTTGTGTTAGAGTCCCCTCAGTTCAGAGTACACTATCCCCAGATTTTCTCATGGCTCTCTGCCTCGCTTCCTTTGCACTCTGCTCCAATGCCACCTTATAAAAAGGCCTTCCTGATCATTATTTGAAAGAGTCCCTTGACATCTTTATATGTGACATCCAGAGCATCATCCAAACTGGAAACAACTCAAACATTCACCAAAAGGTGTCTGCCTAAAAAAACGATAGTGTATCCATATGATGGAACAGTATATGGCAAGAAAAAGGAGTAAACTACTGGCACACACAACTACATTAATAAATCTCAAAGTAATTATGCTCAGTCTCAAAATATTTATGCAAGAAATCCGATGAAAAGGAGTACAGTTGGATGATTCCATATATTCTGTATAAAATACTAGAAAATGCAGAGTTCTGTGGTGGCAAAGAAGATCAGTGATTGCTAGGGATTGGGGTTAAGGAGCTGGGATTGCAAATAGGGGTCAGAGAAATATCTGGGGGTGACAGAGTACATTCATAATCTGGATTTAATTTCATAGGTGTATCCGTGTGTTACAATGTATCAGGGCATATACTTTAAATGTGTATGGCTTATTGTATGTCAATTACACTTCAATAAAGCTGCTTAAAACTATTAAAAAGCCATTTGTTGAAAGTGTTACTGTCCAATAGAACTTTTTGCATTGATGGAAATGGGGTATATCTGCTTTGTTAAATATAGTAAGTCGCTAGACACATGTGATTATTGCACTTGAAATGTGGCTAGAGAAACTGAGGAACTCAGGTTTTAACTTTATTAAAGTTTAATCCATTTAAGCATGAAGAGGTGCATGTAGTTAGCATCTATCCTATGGGACATCACAGGTCCAATGCCTACTTTTCACCTTTTTGTGCCTGCTCATCAACACTGCCTCACACACGTCCTAGACCTTGGACTCCAGTTCCTGGAGGCAGCTGGAAGCTTTCAGCACTAGAAGGCTGTTTCACACTTGCATATCATTGTTCATATTGAAACATCTGCTAAGAATAGCCATAATTGAAACGAGTCTTTCTGCAACTGTCCAATCTTTGACAAGCTGTCACCTGGCCTGTGCAGAAGGTGAAGAGGTGGATTGTTTTCTTTGAAACTTTGAGTTTTCCTAATTAACTCTATGATCAGGCAGCATTGCTGAAGTCAACAAGAATATTTCAAAGCATCATCTTTTCTACCTCTCAAGTTCCTCATAAATGGGGCATATTCAAATAAATGGCATGGTACAGTAAGATCCTTTGGTCATGTTTTATATTATACACCGAAAAAATGTTTTTTCAGAAAAAGCTGATTATCCTTGAAGCAAATTGAACTCTGTTAAGGGTTTTGGAGGCAAGCCCTGAAAAGACCTATTTTTTCTACAACTGTGAGCCCTGCAGCTTGAAAGGTTCTGCCCAGTGACTTCTGCCTGCTCCCGAAAAATAGCTATGATGCAAAAATTCTGTCTAGCTTCAGGCTTCTAGATGGATCCCTTTGGGCAAGGTCATTTGGCAAAGCAGACTTACTCACTGCCTAAGTCAAAGAGAAGGCAGCACCGCAGCTCCCTGGGGTGGGACTGCCTGCCACACTTTGGCTGGATCAGCATCTGGTAACCAACGGCCAGAGAGCAGGGGAGAGGGTGACCTGTGAACTGAGAGGTGGAGAAGGTGGGAAGTGACAGAGCTACAGGCAAGGGATTTTAAGACTGAAAAAAAATCAGGAAGGAGAATGTGAAGAGATGACTGTTTGGAAGGCTCTATTTCCCCATCTGTGTCTTCCTGTCTATCTTTGTTTGCTAATCAGCTGTGACATTAGCTTAATGATTTTGTTCTTTATATCTAATAGCCTTGTTTGCTGCCTGCCCCACTGACTGAATCATTTTATTTCTACTTGGGAGATCATAAAATTTTGACTATTTATCCCGTCAGACATACCCAAGTGAACTGAGGAAAAGCAAAGACAGAAAGAAAGAGAGTGGGGGAAAGGGAGAACTGTTATTTGAAATTATTGCCTGGGCCGGGCAATCACTCACACCCACACTCCCATGAAATCACTCAACCATCATTCACACACATACACATAATCACTCACACCCTCACACAATAACACTCACACAATCACATCCACACTCACACACAATCACACCCTGACAATCACTTCATTCACACACACTCATACCCACACTCATACACCCACACATACACTCACACCCTGACACACAATCACACGTACATCCTCTCACACAATCTCCACACCCTCACTTATACACACAATTACACACAGCTTCACTTACACAATGAGCCACACCATTACCCATGTACACACACTCACATACACAATCACTCATACATTTACTCACACACATCCTCCCTCGTGTGCATTCACTCATACTCAGGCACACAACTACACACAGTCACTTATCCCTTTACACACCCTCAATCTTATACTTACGCACACATACACACACACAGTCATACACAATCACACGTACCTACCCTTCCTACCTCAATGACACAAACTCATTTCTTTCCTCATTTGCAACCAGCATTCATATGTATGACTTCACAGCAGACAGAAGACTTTGCCTTTTTTTCCCCTACTAGGAGCTTGCTGTGGAGGCTTGGGGCCTGGGAACCCAGAGTTCTGACCCCAGCACAGCCTTAGCACATGGATTGGAGCCGCGATTGAGAGTCAGAAGTGGAAGTTTCCTTTTATTCCAGAATGTGATTCTGTAATTGAGTGTTTTGAAATATTTTTTTCTTCGTCGTAATGGTTGTCTTTTCGCAATCTTCATAGTGTAACAATATAAGATCATTACTGTGAAAAATATACAGATCTAGACTTTTCATTAGACCTATATTTGTCTTGTAAGACCAAATCATTAGAAAGAATGTAAGGCTGAACAAGGCAATTGTACATGTGATGGCCAGATTTTAAGTGGAGGTTAATCATTATCAATTGTTCTCTCTAACATCCTTGCTGTCCTTACTGTAGATTAACAAATAGGCCAAATAATAATAATTCTTTTCAATTCAGAACATCAATGTAATCTCCTTCCCTTTGGACAGTTTGCTAAATGGGAACCAGAAATGAGTAAAATGTGTATGATGTTGACACTGTGACACAGGGAGCACATTTCATACCATGTAGAAGCACAGTAAATTGGTCCCCCAGGGCAGCAGCTATGCCAATATGTTTTTATTGGGAAGACAAAATGGCTTTTTGCTATCTCCGCTTCCTTTGACTTGCCATCCTGGGACCACCTTTTATCCAGACTGTGGTACTTTTGGCCTTTCTGGCTGTCCTGTTGATTCAACAAACATGGTGGTGAGGGGAGGAGAATGGGAGGGGAAAAACCCTTCTATTTTGGAAAGAGTGGAGTTCTGGTCTCTCTCAGTTGGGCAGAGAAACCTGTGGGAGAAGTCTGGTTTTCTAGCTGGCACATCACAAATTTACCACTGGGAAAAGATCCTAGCAAGGATTTATTTTCCTGCTGGAAAGATCACAGTTGTAAGGCATGAGCTGACTTCATTTTTCTGTCCTTCAGAGGATGTTGGCTGTTTAGGACATGCCTCGCCACTATAAACATGTAGGCCAGGAGCTGCTTCGGTGAGAAGCAGGCAGGGCTGGATGGGCATTTGCTGAGCAGTGTGCTGTTTCTAAACATTGTCGGCCCTGACAGATGTGCACCATGAAAGGGACATGATTGTGGCTACGTTCTTGGGAGACTCTAGTCCTTTGGTTCTGCACTTGATTCCAGAGTCACATCTGGATGACTGGAAACCCAGTCTGACCCATCTCGGGGACCTCTACAGAAGCCTCTCAGGATCTCCTTCACAGAGTGTGCCAGGGGATAGCTGTTAGGACACATTTCCTGTCAAGCCTTCAGGGGTCTGGGGAACAGATGAGTGGAGTTACCCCAACACAGGGGAGGGAAGGCACCCCAGGCAGAGAAAAGATGCAGGCACGCACATGGGAGCAGTAATCAGCAATGCATGCCAGGCTGCCAGGGTGCAGGAGGAGCCAGTTCATGAAGGACCTTGTATGCCAGGCTGTGGCACTTGGGCCTTACGTAAGGTTATTGAAAAGCCAAAACATAGAAAGCAACAACAAAAAGATTTCTCTCTCCCCAAAGAACCCCTTTGAAGGGAGCATAAATGGGTGAGGACTATTTGATAGAATTTCTAGTGGCTCAGTAGTTATTTAAGCCAGGCTTTACCAGAGCATATGAAGTCCTGAATTTCAGACAGAAGAGCTGTAGGAGACCCCAGGAGGATGTAGGTGACGTTTACATTCCTGTCGTTGGCCTTAAAGCAGGGTTATATGTGTTGAGATTCATCAGGTAAAAAGTTAGCACTCCTTTCTTGTAGAGAGACAGACTGAAATATTTGCAGAGTAAATGTTGCCTTTCAGGGTTTACTTTCAGATTAAAGCCAGGACAGGGAATAGGGTACAGGTGACACATGGTCGCCCAGGAGTGTCATAACTGGGTGAAGGCACCTTGCTATTGTGGGCATTTAGTATATTCTATTATAAATATATGTATTTATATAAGAGAAGGCAAGGAAATACCACCACTAATCTACTTAAAAGCCTGTACTCTGGGTTATTTTTCATATGATTACATACACGATTTATTTCAGAAATTAATGATCCTTTCAGGACTAGGCTAGGGATAAGTAAGTTTAGCTTGGACAGAAGTGAATTATTAGTCCTGCCTAATGTATTACCCTCTGTTTAAAGAATCTGAAAAAGCCTTTTGATAAAGCTTAGAAGGAGTATGAAACAAAAATGTGTTCTCATTTTTAAAATTATGTATAGGTAATTTGATACTTCAATTTTAAACCAAGCTTTTATTACTTAAAGGGATTTTCTAAATGAGCCTTAATCCAGAATTTTTGTCAACTATATTACTGTGGTTTGTTTTGATGACAGATATGTTCAGTGATGCTATATTATTTTAACCAGTTTTTTCCTGCTCCTTTTTCTATAATGTCACAGTGGTTATAGGATGTTATTTTCAGGGAAGTTCATTGAAAGAGTTAAGGCCAGCTCTCTCATGAGTTATTTCTTTCCGTTTTTGTTTTTAAACACTTTCTCCATTTCATTACTGGTTTTGAAAGCAGGGCAATTTTCAGACTTCACCTTTCAGGTGATTTGTGAAAAACATTTACTTTCGTATATGTATTTCTCTGAATTACCAGTTCTTTTGGTTTTAGAAAGAGACTGTTCAACACCCACCTCCTTCACCTTCAACTGCCAAAAGAGATTCTGAAAAATGGGTAGCTGATTCTTAGATGTGAACCACAGTTTCTACTAAAGACAAGATTCTATTGGTTGAATTCAGAAAGGTGTAACTTTCCCAATCACAGTTTCTCATCCCTAGAGTGGAGAGAGCTTAGCTAGAAGGAATTGATTAAGCAAATGACTGCAGGGAAATAGTGGCTTCAATTATTTTAAATACCGGAAAAATATGAAATATATTTAAATGTCTCATGTTTATTTTGTAATCTCTGTGCCTTGGGTAATGTAGTATGTTCTGATTGGAAAAAGAAACTGTCATATGAAGCCACCTAGTAAAGTAAAAGGTGTTAAGAGGAAAGTCATTTCAAGTCCAACTACAAGTATTTCATTGGGTTGTTTGAGTTTTTAAAAACTAGCCCTGGGTATCTTTTCAGTGGTGAAGGATCACAGAACTCAAACTGCTGAACACCAAACCTTTTATACTTACTGCATCCATAGAAATCTTAAACTTCCATACCTGAGTTTGCTTGGCCCCCAAGTTCTGAAGTTTCATTAATACTGTACATTCATATGGAAGGATAAGCAGAGTGTTCTACTGGAGAAGCTTGCAGGTCCCTTTAGCCCAAGGAGGCCTCCATCCATTATTCCTGGCCTGTCAGCATCCTTGATATGTGTGCCAGTTTGGTGAAATAAATGGGAAGGGATCAGCACATTCTTACTTTGCAGATGGAAAACCAAGACTCAGTGGTTTGCTGCTGGTCAACCAGCAAGTGTAATTGAGCCAGAGTCAGGAAGTGGGTTTCCTGACTTCCATTTAGCCACACTTGCTGCCTGTCTCCGTGCCTGAGAGCAAACTTTTCTGAGTGTGACTAAACCAATGGCAGAAAGGGGATTCTGAAGAAGACTGCCTGAGAGAGTCCTCTGTTTCTGAATGGAAAAGGCTTGAAATGAGAATAACATCAAATTCTGAAAAATTGAAACACGCATAGGTAGGGCAGGGGAAGAATTCCTCACAAAATCCCAGAATTTAGGAGGAGGGAGGAGCACTCTTTAAACTTGAAGCAATTATAGGATAAATAAATAATTATTTACCTATTAGTGTGAGAAACTCATTTATTCCAAGAGGTTTTGTGATATGTAATAACTAGGTTTAAGATGTCTTTAAAATTCCTGGGCAATAGTCCCATGCCTGATTATTAAGAGAAATGATCTGTCTGAACTGTGTCTTGCCTTTGAGGTGTTGCAGTGCCTTGGAGTTATATAATTCCAGTCCCAGGGACCTCAGAAATCCTCTAGTCATGCTCCCTCTCAGATGCATAAAGTGATTAAACAATATCCCTCTCAAAGTGTCTTCTGAGTTTTTATATCTTCTGAGCATTTATATTTTCACCCACTCATTCTTTCAAATTGTTGAGAACCTACTTTGTGTCCCACACTGTGCTCCACACTAAAGAACAAAAAAATTACACTTCTTGCCTCTTCTTAAACACTCTAGTCCTCCACCCCGCAATGACAGGGAGCCCTCTGGAACCACAAGTAGCCATTTCATCATTGAATGCTGTTTAAAGAAAATGCTGCCATGTTTTCCAGTGTTTACATTGAGTCTCTTTAGAAAGTGCCTCTTCCTTTGTCTTCATAACAACGCTTCATATTTTTTGAGTAATTTTTATTGGTTTTGTTTAGTCTCGTTTTCTCCAGAATAAAAATTCATAGTTATTTCAAGCCTTCCTTAGCAGACATGATGATGTAGCTTCTTTTTACCATGGTTGCTCTTCTTTGGATGTGCTCCAGTTGGTCAGTTTTACCCTGAACTGCACACTCAACATTTAGGTAATACATTTCAGGCATGAGATAAATGTGGGAGGGATAATTAAGTTGACAGCATGGAAAGGTGGTTGTATTTTTTTTTTTTTCTCCTACAGTGATGAGCAGGGTCATAGATCAAGTCAGAGAGCTGGCATGAATTCCCTAAGTGAGGAAGTGAAGACAGGGATTTAGCAAGAAGTCCAGGGAGACAAATGGTGGGTATGAAAGAGTCAGACAGTGCCCTTGGGATACTCAGAAGGCAGGCAGGCAGGTTCTGAATGTTGGAGCTGAAGGAGCTTTCTGGGCCATGTGCAGACTTTCCACCACACTTTCCTGTGACCCAGATGTGACTCAAAGTAGGCGCTTAGGAAGTACTTTTTGAGTAAGTAGTGAGAAGGCCAGGCTTGACATTTTCATGACACCCATTTTCCTTTGAAGGGATTTAAGAGGCTTCCTGTGCTGAAATGTCTATTGAGCATTGGTCTCAGCAGACTGGGTACTGGCATGACTTCAAGGTTGTCCAGTAAAGTTTCATGCCAAGAGGCATCTTGATTTATCCTTGCTTTCACACTTGGAACTAAGAAAAGGAGAAAAAGGAACACATCAGGCTCCACGGGATGATCTGGACTAAAATAAGCAGGATGGAAATTGCTGAAGAGATGGAAAAGGAGAGGCACTTCTTCCAGCTACGGATGTACCAGGTAAGTTGCTGGCAAAAAGCAGGTCCCATCAGCCCTCACCTGTGGGAGGCCCCAGGGAGGCCACTGCCTCAGCAAGCATCCTCTTCTCACTAATATCAGCAGCTTCCGAGAAAATGACAAATACATTTTTGGACTCCTTTTGTCCCTGTGTTGACGTTTCTTTTACTAGGGGAGTCTTAGCCTCCTGGTGGGTGGAATTAGATTAATCTAACACTAACTTTTGCTTAAAATTAGAGAATTAAAAGAATGTTCTTTCTAGCCTCACAGGTGTTCTCTCTCAAACTCACCTTTCACTGGAATTTACCTAAAATCCTTACTCCTGGGGTGTTTTCTAAGTAAGAAATCTGAGGTTCCCTTGCCCCAGTGGAGTCAGTGAGTGGCTTGGGGGAGGATGAGAAGTCAACTGGGAAAAACATACAGCATAAGAGATAACAGACCATGTCCTGTGTCCATGTGATGTGGATAGGAAGCCATGTCACCTATCTGGAGCACTTCCACCCAGACTTCACCTCTCAGGTGGGGGAGCTTATCCAGCCAGGAGGCCCATGTGGCCTGTGCAACACATCTCTGCTCCACTCCATCCTGCAGCCTCAACCCTTGCCTTGGGGAGGAGAAGACAACAAGACAAACACTCTCAAGAGTATTTTTCCGAGATCAGAGACCATCAATCATAAAGGTCTTTGCTCACAGCCTTTTTATTTTTGTGCCTTGCTTGCAAGTGCATGCATACAAATGGCATATGGAAGCGGTTCCCACCTCTGCCTGAGGATTGGCTACTCCTGGAAGCTGCCTCATACTACAAGGAATTTGTTTCCCTCTCAAAGTGGTGCAAACTTAGGATTTAAATTTACAAAATGCGTGGGTAATACTTGCGACAGGTATTGAAACTGGTTTTGGCCAGTTCGTGATTCCCTGTAAGCAATCAACAGCAAGCTAATCCAGAAGGCACTTTTTTATTTTGGAATGTTTGTTAATTCCAGCAGGAGCTTAGCCTTTATAAAGATAAATAGATACATAGATAGATAGATAGATAGATAGATAGATAGATAGATAGATAGATAGACAGATGATAGATATAGATCGATAGAATCTATATTTATCTATCTTAGAAATATATTTGAATGAGTTTTTATTCCCAGAGCAAACTCTTTAAGTGGTCATCAGAGCAGAAACAGTGCCAGGGATCAGGGTGGTAGCTGAAAATTAAGTCTATTTTGTCTGACGTTAGTATGTATACTTACCTTAGTCTCTTTCCTGTTGCTATAACTGAATACCTGAGACTATTTTATAAATTACTCACAAGCGATAGCCAAATTGGCTTTTATAAGAGATCCACTTTTGTCATAAGTGACCCACTCCCTCATTAACCCATGAATGGATTAATTCACTCATGAGGACTTTGCCACCCAAAGGTTCTACCTCTCAAAAGTTTTACCTCTGAAAGGTTCTACTGGTCACCTCCCAGAGGTTCTACCTCTCAACACTGCTATGTTGGAGACCAAGTTTTCAACACAAGAACTTTTAGAGGACACACTCAAACCATGTTACTACTTCAGCTCTCTTAGCTACTATTTGCACCTTTTATATTCAGTCCATGTATATCTTTGAATCTAAAGTGTGTCTCTTATAAATAATACAGTTGGATCATGGTTTTCTTATCAGTCTGACAATCTCTACCTTTAGATTGCATTGTTTAATCCATGCACATTTAATGTTACTGTTGAGATGATTGAATTTATTTACTTTTTATATTTCATGTGATTTTTGTTCTTCTATTCCTCCTTTACTGCTTTGTTTTTCATCAAGTGAATATTTAGAAAGTTAACTCGAAGGGGCTGGGCACGGTGGCTCACGCCTGTAATCCCAGCACTTTGGGAGGCCGAGGTGGGCGGATCACGAGGTCAGGAGATAGAGACCATCCTGGCTAACACGGTGAAACCCCGTCTCTACTAAAAATACAAAAAAATTAGCCGGGCATGGTGGCGGGCGCCTGTGGTCCCAGCTACTCGGGAGGCTGAGTCAGGAGAATGGCATGAACCCAGGAGGCGGAGCTTGCAGTGAGCCGAGATGGCACCACTGCACTCCAGTCTGGGGAACAGAGTGAGACTCCGTCTCAACAAAAAAAAAAAAAAAAAAAAAAAAAAAAAAAAGCAGAGGTGGGCTCACCTAACAGCAAACTTGAACTTGGAGGTCACAGAAGAGAAAACATCTGATGTACAATGTAGAAGTTGGCCAAACAGTCATGGCCTATTAAGAGCTTTGCGTAGGTTGAGAAAGTACCTTTAAAAGCAGTTACTTGAGAATTCAACTCTAAAGTGAATTAGATTGCCTTCACTAAAATCATTTTAAAAGGCCAAGTGTAGTGACTCATGCCTGCAATTTCAGCACTTGGGGAGGCTGAGGTGGGAGGATTGCTTACTTGAGGCCAGGAGTCCGAGACCAGCCTGGGCAACAACACATGGAGGTCCCACATTTACCAAAAAAAAAAAAAAAAAAAAAAAAAAAAATCGTTTTAAAATTGTTTAACCATTCAGATATCAAGGGTGGAAACAAAAATTGTTCAACCATTTTTCTTAAATTTAAGTTCTCAAGCTTTAAGTGCTTGGTGTTGTTTAGGTGTTTAAAATTTTAGTTGCCCAGGATCTAATCTGAAAGAGTGGTTTTTAGGCCTTTATTTTAAAGCTGTGGAAACTTTTATTCAGTATTAATTTTAGAAAAAAATTCACTATGTAATAGGTAATACAGAAGAATGGAGAAGGTATGAGAGCTCCTCTCTTGCTGTTGTATGATTATAAAAATAGTATCTACTTTTTAAGAAAACTGGTCAATATAAGAAAATATATTAAAAAATTTAAATTGCCCCCAAATTTTACTTAAGCAAAGATAATTATTTTGACATTAACCAAATACATTTTATATACCCTAAGTATACACTCAAAAAATTAATTTGTACAAATAGACCTTTCACTGATGATGTTTTATAACCTCGTTATTGTCACTCTGCTATGTCAATGTCCATGTCAGAAATTTTGGGCTTCATTGGCTTACTCGCTGCACAGTATTTTTGTATGGATGCACCATATATTAATTCTCCATTCATGACATTTGGGCTGTTGCTATTTTTCACTTTTACAAATAAGGCTGCAGTGACTCTTCTTTTCTATTCATCTTTGTAAACTTTTCTGATTATCTTCTTAGGAGAAATTCCTGGGAGTAGAATTTCTAGGTCAAAAGGGACACACATTTAAAAATTTGATACATTGCCAAATAACTTATTTAATAATAAATATCAAAAGGTTTACATGTTGACTCAGTTTATGCAGGCACATTTTGCTTTTCTGTGTTGTTTTACACTAATTAGAAAGAACAAAAACTTGAGTGGCTAAAATATTTGAAAAACAAACTTTTACCTTTAATAAATTTAAATATTTATCATAAATGCATGAAAGAAAGCTATACCGTCTAATACTTCTTTAAAAACATTAATATTTAAATTATTAGACAGTTACTTCAGAATATTTTCATTCACAGAAGAGCATGCTTGAGCTTCCAAATATGAAAAACTGACCCTAACGCATGTCAGTGTTAAAGCAAATGGATTTCAAATATTTTGAAAATAATGTTGGTTATTCTCTACTCCATTTTTCACTTAGATGTTTGTGTTGTGTGAAAGCAGTTTTGCCACCACTGACATATTCTCACTATAGACAGCACAGTGGAGAGCAGTTTTTCTGTTGATATCTGTAATATCTGGATAGGCACCAAAGTCCAGCAGAATAGTTGCATAAACATCTTCTTGGCATTGTATAGCCTGTCAGTATTAGACCAAGAAACACATTGTAAATTCTAGAAAATACAAATAAATATTCCATAGGTTCACAAATTAGTTACATTTCAATGAAATAAATCCATTTTTATTCTATGTATTTAAACCAAATCCATCTCATGCTGAAATAACTGGCTACTATATATCTTCATCAGAGGTGTCGTGTTTTCACCGTCACACACGTTAAGCTGGCACTTTCTGTGCACCAGCAAAGTTACCGCTTCTGGATAGCCATTGACACAGGACAAATGTAGATCCATTCTATGAGATTGAGATAAATTTTTAGAAAGTTTCAGTACACCATCTCAAAACATAGAGTAATTCATGTAATAGTAAACATTAAATAGCATGCTCTTCCTCTACCTTCAAAACAAATAATTTTCTCCTGAAAAAAACATAATATTTTTTAGCTCTTATTACTCACTACAATAATAAAAGAGTGGCCTGTTTGAATAGAAAAAAGCTTGGCCTTTGGGTTCAGTTCAACTTGGGCTTGAATTCTACTTTAAGGCCTTTCACTTACAAGCAAAGTTACATAGGCTTCCTGTGCCTCAATTTTCTCATCGATAAAGTGGAGATAAATATAGTAGCTATCTCACAGGACATCATTGTGATGCCTAAGTGAGAACTTACACAAAATATTTAGAACAGATTCTAATGCAAATAACAGCTGTTTCATGGGCACAGAGTTTCTGTTTGGCATGATGGAAAAGTTCTGGAAATGGATGGTGGTGATGAGTGCACAACACTGTGAATTTAGTTAATGCCACTGTATGCTTTACCAAAAAACAAACACTAAAACAAACAAAAAACACACTGCTTAGGCATCCCAGTCAGAAAGATGATGTGATTGGTTGGAGCCAGGGCCTAAGCCTCACCATCAACAGACGACTTGTGCCCCAAGCTTTCCTCTCCAGAACTGCTCCAAGGTCCCTCTCGGTTCCACTTAGGCCTGATTACTTCATAGAGCCCCATGCATAAAAGCCACCTCTTTTGCTGTCTCTTCTCACTCCAGTCCTCTCCCTCCAGCCTCCCCTAGCTACACATTATGATAAAATCAAGATGACTAAACATTTTCTGATGATTTATATGATCAAATAATCTCAAGGACTATTGCTTACTTAACCCATATGACTCCCACAACTTACATGGAATTCTGATGAGGTGAAGGATCCCTAAAATTCTACCACCTAGTCAGAAATTTAGGTGTCAGTAATTTATTTGTGATACAAGCAGGGGTGGGGAAAAAGAAATGAACAGACCTGGAAGCTTCTCTGAGGCCCTAGAAAAGACCTCTGGGCTTCCAATGCCAGAGGCCAGGAGCAGTGAGGGAAGTTGATGACTCTTCACGCTTACTTTATTCCCTACTTTTCTGTTGCTCCCCTTTACTCATTGCATCTTTCCCAGGTCCTGGATCCCGGGCCATCCTCCCATCAAATCACATCCCTTCTACCTCCTTTAATAAAGAAGCATGGGTTAAGTGATCATGGTGATTTGCATTAAACTACATTAACTCAGAAATCATGTTTAGTTCCACACAAGAAAAAGGATGTGGATCTCTTTCACTGAAAAAGAAAAGTCACTATGTGTCATCTTAATCATGTTTTCCTAGGATATAATCTATACATGATGTCTATGTAAGCTTTCATTGCAACTGGATACATGGTTTGCTTTCCTCTTGTGTAAAATAGAGTGTTGAAATAAACAGGTCTGGGCCATAATCCAGAAAGACACAATCCTGAATGCCATTATCCCAAATGTTGAACTCCAAAAAGATATACATCTCTACAGTCTAAAATCCTAAAATTACAATCCCCCAAACCCCAAAATTCTAAAACTATAAATCTGGAAAAAATGATTTAAAAGGCATTTATTGACATTTTTAGGAGGGGATTTATTTGAGAAACATAAAAAACACAACAGAATACTTCCTAGGTCACCTTACAAAATAAAATAGGCAACAACATCATACATATGTTTGCAAGCATAAACAGGTATATTAATCAGAGTCACATGGGTATAACATTTATGAGCAGATGAATCATATAAAAAATAGGTCAATAAGCAAAATGCATAAATGCATGGTTAGTAGTTGTGTGCATCCAGTGTTATAACAGGTCATCTGAAATACTGTGACAGACTACCTAGGTCTTTAGACCAGATTGATCAAAAGCTGTCACAGATCATCACCGAATATGCAGTCAAAGTCAAAGAGATTCTCAGAAATTTTCTCTTTCACAAATGCAGATATGCAAAAAGAATATCTCATCTATTGAGAAAGTTTTAATATTTTTAGGTTTACAAACAACGCTTACACATAAAGTCAATGTGATAATGCACTTTTGTGGAGTCAAAGTTGCAAAAAAAATGCATAAAGCAAATTAGAACTCTCTAAAACTCTTTACACAGTTTATACCTTCAGTACTGGAAATGATGCTAAGAAGAAATACACAGCATAGTGAGTTGTAAATAAATAATGCTGACAATTTAAAATAGTGGAAAAAAACTTAAAAATAAAACTAAAAAGAAAACTGACATATAAAAATACATTACAGGGATAGATTATGGGCAACTACGCAGAGTTCATAATAGCTAGTTGACTTTTATGATTATTAACTGTATTTTGAAGTCTTGCATCACAATAAATAGCTGCCTTTAAGGACATGACTTTCCTCAGAGAATATGTTCACATCTCAGAGAATATGTTCACATTCATTTTCTATGTCGCACTGCTCACTCTGAAATTCTTCTGTAATTCAATATACACTGAGATGAACACTTCCTATTATGTTTTTCAATCTTCTACGCCATGCTTCTATATTGTTTTGAGTATCTACTTTGCATGCACTAATCTACAGGCCACAAATTTGGCAGAAACAATACTGTTGATTGGACAGCAACACCATTGCCTAAATGACTTTTCTTTTTTTTTAATAAGACAGAGTCTCACTCTGTTGCCCAGGCTGGAGTGCAGTGGCATGACCTCGGCTCACTGCAACCTCCCCCTCTTGGGTTCAAGGGATCCTCCTGCCTCAGCCTTCCGAGTAGCTGAGATTACAGGTGTGTGCCACCACACTCGGATAATTTTTGTATTTTTAGTAGAGACAAGGTATCGCCATGTTGGCCAGGCTGGTCTTGAACTCCTGACTTCAAGTGATTCACCCACCTTTGCCTCCCAAAATCCTGTGATTACAGGCATAAGCCACCATGCCTGGCCCTAAATGACTTCTTATCTTACCTTGCACATAATTATTTTTAAACCAGTAAGTAACCTTGCTGGCTTCTTTAGGAAAATGTGGTTTAATTTGTTAAAAGCTCCTGGAATTTTATCGGGTAGAAGAAATGCCACTATGGATAAACGATGCATTTTTAAACTAAAATTTTCATCACTGCCATATGGGCTTGGCCACTAAACTCACCTGAATTTTCCACCAAATGAATTGGACTAAATGGAAAAGCAAACTTTACTGGTAACACCTTGCAATTCACTTTCAGAAGCCTTTGTCACACCTAGTTCCAAACCTGTCATTTTAACTTGGGGATGCAATTGAAATCTATTTTCTTCTGCAAAGTCCACCAAATCTTCAAATAAACATTTATAAAATGCCTCACTTTTTCCAGCCAGTAATACATAAACAGTATATTACATTATAGAATTTTGGAATCTGATAGACGCATAAATTGTATAAAGTTGGTAAAAACAAACAAAGAAACACTAGGGATGGTTTTGAAAGTGACATTCATTAGCCAAAGTAAAACATGCATTTTTTTTAATGTTAGATTTAGTGGTAAATAAATATGTCTATCTTCTTTCACAGTCAAATCTTTAATCAAGAATAGTTCATGACTTAATGTGTCTTGTAGCCCTGAAGGAACCTCTGTGCCAGCAAGTACCTGGTTCAGAAGGCCGCCAAGCTTGTTGAACTCTTTTTATTCTCTGACAAAGGGCATTTTGTGAAGGCAAGTGTCAGAAGTTGTACATCAATAATAATTCGGCAGGAAAGATTCTGTGCATTTTTTACCTTCATTTTCACTTTTTCTATATTCCAGACATTGACAGATCTTTCCCACCTAGTCCACTCAGACCTACACATTAATCTTTTCTGAGAACACCCTCGAGGCATACCCAAAATAATGCTTTACCAAGTTTCCAGACATTCCTTAACCCAGCCAAGTTGACACCTAAAATTAAGTCCATGGGTCCACCCCTTGTTGACTTGGCACCTCTACATACCTTCTTAGCCATGCTTAATTTCCGAATAAAGAGTAAACAAGGAAATAATTACATTTAACATGATGCAATACCATGGTGCAACTGTCCTGTGATAGTGATCTTCTGGATGTTAGATAAGGATTTTAGACTTAGGGATTTTGATGTTTCAGGATTTCAACATTCAGGATTATAGTGTTTAGGATCGGGTGTTTTTGGATTAGGAACGACATGGGGGACTTAACAGCCTCTCAGCTCTCTTCAAACTATAATGGTACTCTTCTTTGACAGAGTTCCTTTTTCTCCCAGTGCCTCCTGAGTCTAGTCTCTTTCTTTGGCTTGGCTAAGCCTGCCTTCTCCTTTCCTATCCATCTACTTTCTTCCCTCTGGTTAATCCAATGTAAAATTTGACTCTTTTTATTCAAACAATTCCAGCTTCTATCATATATCTTCTTTTGTGAATCTGGCATCTATAATGTTTCTGTTGAAAATATATATAGACAAGATTACATATAGTTAAACTATGTCTTGTATTTATTCAGTAGTAACACTCTGATAAGGAATTAAAAATGTTTCTTCTAAAATCATAATTTAATCACCAGGCAAAGCAGATAAAGAAAAATGAATTTCAGATCCTTACATCAGTCAAATGTAGACACTGGTTTTTATTGAGGACTTTCTTATTTTTGTCACTAGTTGACTCCGATACTTCTTGGCCCAAATGGAATACAGGATGGAATTGACAAATGGAATGTCATATGTGCAGTGCTCTAATGGAGGTGAAAATTAAATACTCAGAAATTTTGTGACATGTTTGTCAAACCATCGGTTGAAATATTCACACAATGGAAATCAGCAAATGCTACAAATCTGGGCTTTTTTTTCCTTCCCCCAACCAGGTTTACCAGTGCACCACTTTTATTTATCTTGCAAACATTCAGAATATCTATAAATATTCACAGACTCTTCTATACTCCATGTGTCATTCAGACTAAGCCAACGTTCTTAAAGATAATGAAGCTGTAAGTGAGTTGACTCAACTAAATCTCTCTCTCACCTGTCTCCTCCTACCCTTCTGACTCCCAGTCTTGCTCTACTTCATGCCACTGGGCTAGACATGCTCCTGATCAGGGCGTGTACCCTGCTGTCTGCCTTTTCTTCCTGGAGTGCTCTTCCCCAGGTATCTGCAAAGCTGGTGCACTTACCTCCTTGGAGTCTTTGTTCAAATGTTGTCTTCTCAGAAAGACTTTCTATATTAGTTTCCTGACTACTGGAATAAATTAGCATACATTTAGTTGCTAAAAGGAACACGCTTCTCCCCTATAATCCTCTAGGGGAGAATTCATTTTCTTGCCTTCACCAGCGTTGAGAGAATGCACACATCCCATGGCTCATGGCTTCCTTCCAGTCAGCAACTACATTATTCTGACCTCTGTCACCACATCTCTTGCCTCTGACTTTCTTGCCTCCTTCTTTTGCTTATAATCACTCTCGTGATTACACTGAGTTCACCTGGCTAATCCGGAATAATCTTCTCATCTCATGATCCATAACTTAATCACACCCACAAGTCTCTTCGCCATATAAAGATACAGACGTAGGAAAGCTATTATTCTGCCTACTACACCTTCCTTGAGCATTTGATATGTCTTTACTTCTACCCACTTCCAGTGTTGTGTATCCCCCTTCCATGCTTAATTTTTCTCTGTACCGTTATCACCTTTTGGAATATTATGTATTTTATATAGTTATTTTGTTAATAGTGTGTCCTGCCTCACATGAATGTAATCTGTATGACGGTAAGCATTTTTGTTTTATATCCTTGCTATATTATCATTACATAGGACAGTGCCCAGCTCACAGTAAAGATTCAATAGATATATATTTTTTGACAGAATAAATTAGGTTAAAAAGTTTGAGGGAAAACCTGACATGATATGGTGGCTTCCAAGTGATGGGAAAAGGCCATGTGGTGGGGCCTATAGAGAAAGCCAGGATGTTCCAGAGATACCCCAAGGCAGAGCTGCTTTGCTGACACTGAACTCTTTGCCCAAGCTCTGATTTCTAATGTTTTCTCTCATATTTGCTTTTGCTTTCTTTTTAAAATAATTTTTAAAAGTTTTTTCATAGAGACAAGGTCTCACTATGTTGCCCAGGCTGGTCTTGAACTCCTGAGCTCAAGCAATCCTCTCACTTTGGCCTTCCAAAATGCTAGGATTTCAGCTGAGAGCCACTGCACCTGACGTGCTTTTGCTCTTTCTATACTCAAAATTTTTATATTAGTTTCTGACTACAGATTGTAAACTCCTAAAACAAAATAACTGTTTTGTTCTTCATATTTCTTTAAATCTTCTACTCTGCATGGTTCTAGATATTGAATATGTAGATGCCAAATATTTGCTTTTCTGATGTATTATCTTTTATTTCTTAAAAATCAGCCCAACCATGTTGTAAAGAGGGATGATTTTCTTCTGTAGATATGAAAAATTGCACATGTTCAATGCTTACATCGTATGGTTCGATGTCACTACAGCTTTTTTGTTTTTGGCAGACTTTTGATACTCTTTTAAAACTTATTTGTAGTTAGCACACAAGGAACAAAATAAAGCTTTGAAAAAATTTTAACACAACAAAATGCACTGACGTTTAAAAAATATATAGTCTGGCCTTTACTTGCATATGCACATGCTCTGAATTGTCCTACTAGGCTGACCATGTATCACCTCTTTAGCTTGGATCCTATTGTGGATTTATTTACAAACATCAATTGCCTTTAAGCCAATTCTTTTTGCTGTATGTTTTGCAGTTTACAGTGTGGTTGGGGAGAAGAGATAGGAGAAAGCTAATAAGAGACTTTGCCAAGAGTGTAGTCTTCTTGGTTCCTTTTAAGAATGTGCTGCCTTTCTACTATGACAGCAGAACAGCATTTTGTTACTGACTGCCTAAAACTACTTAATCCCAGATGAAAGCATCACTTGCCAAACGTTTGGAATGCTGTTTGTGTTTTGTTGCACTGTTATTTTTGTTTATTTGGTTGGCTTTTTGGAGAGGGAAATTTGGAAATGGGACATACACAAAAGTCATAACCCATCCACATTCCCATTTCATTATTACAAGAAGCAGCTAGAAGAGCTAAGAATGGAGTAAAGAAGGGCAGTATGGCAAGCACCAGCAAAGAGTTAAGGGCTGTTGCTCTTTAAAGATTATTATTTTATTATTACCTTAAAAGTATGAAAGTTTTCCAGTCACTGGGGAAAGGAGAAAAAACATACTTAGTTTTATACAGTTACTTAATTACATCCAAAACACATATGTTGGAAATCATTTTTGCTGGCGCAAAGTATTTTAATGAGCAGGAATACATATAGCAAGGTTATGACTAGAGAGCTCAATTTATACATTTGCTATCTTCCTCAAACCCAACATGGCATGAAAGCCCAAGTTTATTTCAAAAGTATGTAACTTCAAAATTACAAATACCAAAGTTTGCTCTAATAACTATTTTGTACTTCTTTCTTAAATGAAATTAATTTTTATTACCTAAAGAAATGTTCACTAAACACAATCATTCACTTTGAGTATATATAGGTAAAACAGGAAGAGGAATCACACAGTAAATTATAGTTTATATTAGAGATAATATTCAATTGGCTCAAATAAACGTATCAGCATTCATAAGACTACAACATTCCCCAAGGTACTAACAGTAACAATGTCTTTTTTGAAAAGGAATTTAGCTCTGATGTTTTTAATGAAAACCATAATCTCTGATGTTGCAACACATGTGAAATGGGCATTAGATCTATCCTACCCTTAACCCCACAATTAATAAAGTGGCTGAAAATAATGTTAAAATAATTAGTCTAAGAGAGAAAAGATCAGTGCTCTAAATTCTCTCTCTCTCTTCGTGTGTGTGTGTGTGTGTGTGTGTGTGTGTGTGTGTGTGTGTATGTGTCGGGTGGGTTGGGAGGAGGCCTTTACTGTTAGAAGAAAGCTTTTTTGTACAGGAAGCATATTTCAGTTTGGACACAATTATAAGGAAGTTTAATTTTATAATCTATAAAACCAAATACCTTCAGAAATGGTTTTGCCATTTGTGATTTATATGAATAGTATTCTGATTAATGTAAAATTATAGGTTTGGATGTCTATATCTACACCCATTGAAGCCTCAGAGCTTCATGTACTGCTATAACTTTTGTGTTAACCCTGGGTAAAATCAGAATGGTGGTACAAAGAATAATTTTCATTTCAAATTTTACAGTATGTTTATCTGAAGGACAAAAAGATCTACTTTCCAGTGATATGTATTTTAAGATGTCAAGAGACTTTTCCTGATGCTATTTTATGATTATGGAGAAAATAGAATTCGTATTAGAAATCTCAACTCCAAGTTGGGAATAGATGTTTTGATACTTATACTGCTATGGCCTGAGACTCTGAATCATTAAAAGAGAGCTTGCTGGTTGGCCACGATGGTGACACGTGTAATCCTAGCACTTTGGGAGGCCAAGGTGGGTGGATCACTGGAGCTTAGGAGTTCAAGACAAATCTGGCCAACGTGGCAAAATCCTGTGTCTACAAAAAATACAAAAATTAGCAAGGCTTGGTGGCACATGCCAATAATCCCAGATACTCAAAAGACTGAGGTGGGAGGATCACTTGAGCCCAGGTGAGCTAATATGTACTTCAGGAGAAGGTTGCAGTGAGCCAAGGTTGTGCCACTACACTCCAAGTGGGCAACAAAGCCGACCCTGTACCAAAACAAAAAATAAAAATTTAAAAAAAGACCCTGCTATCTACAGATTAGGAAACACAAATAAGCATCAACCTAAAACCTTCGATGGCATTTTTGGTAGTTATATTTCCTTATTGCAGAGCAAAATTAATATATAAGAAATGGAATATTTTCTGTTGATATCTAGGGTAAAATGACAAGACCCTTCCTCAGAAAAGTAATAGTGTGTTATGAGGACACTAGATACAATACTCTTCACCTTCAACGCATTGCAAACAACTTGAATCAATCCAGTAACCTTATTAAGTACAAGCAACTAGTAAAAATGAAAGCTGTTTATCTAAAATAGCAAGCCAAGAACTTCACTGATACACTTTGAAGGTGGCTCAATAACCCTGTCAAAGCTTTGCTCCATCAGATCACAGCATAAATATCTCATTGGCCCAATAATCAAGGCCTTTAGAGTTTCACAGTGTTTTATCTCTAATAGCTAATACGTGGAGTATTGCTGACATTCTGCCTATAGTTACCCAGAAAGAAATCAAACTTGCCTTGATATAATATAAAAACATTAAAATGAATCTCTGCTGTAGAAAACAGAGTTCAACTATGGGCTCTATACAAAACCACTTAAGGTGGGAGGGAGTTGATTTTAGGTAACAGAAACAAACTTCTTTATTCGATTTCTCTGGGAAAAAAGTAAAGAAAATCCAAACATTATCTGTTCTGGTCAACACGTGTAAGGCTCAGTCCTGTTTTATTTCTCCCCTTCCCCTTCAAATCCTTTTTCCTTACACTTGATTCTACATACTGAGAAAAGTTCCAGTGCATCTAAAGGAGTATGTAACCCTGAGAATTTATCAACTTATTCCCATGACGCAACAATTGCTTAGACAGCATTTGGGAATGCTTCTATTCAGAGCTAGTGATAAGCCTCAAGAGGAAGTCAGTCTTATTGGTTTACAGTTGCATTTTAGGCTCATGTATAGAAGAGCTAATATAGATTTCAGAGTCTTACAGGTGTTTGAAATCTAGGCTCCACTTTTAGTACATGTGAAGTTTTGGTAAGTTACTCAATCTCTTTGAGCCTCAGTTTTCTGAGTACAGTGGCCACACCTTACAGGATTGTTGTGTGGATGAGTTACAATGATATATATAAATCTATTACAATGTCTTTATTCCCTCCTTCTTTCCTCCCTGACCCCGATTTCCCAGAAAAGCACACTTCTGAGGTCTGACTTCTGAGAGGTTACAGACACAATCAAGCTTGATGCTTGCCAGGAAATGAGGGGCTAGACTTGAGCGTTAGGGAACCAGGGAATGACATCTATCATCCATCCCATAAGACCTAGGAGGAAAGTGAGGCAGGGCAGGAGAGTGGGAAGTGATGCTCTTGAAGGCTACTATTAGGTAGTCACTGGGGTCTCTGCCCAAGGCACTGTTAGTGCTTATTTAGGGGCACATGTAAGAGATGGATGGCAGTAATTGTCTAGTCAGGAGTTTAGCAATTTCTATTTCATTTCAAACCTCATTTAATCCCTCCCATCCTAGACAAATTCAGTCAATTAAACTTCCTCCTGCATCTGTGACTGGGCCTCTTCATCATTTCTCCTCTGCAAGAGTATCTTCTTTGGGCATGTGGAAAGGTCTCAGTACATCTTCGGTGTTTAGGGACTTACCTGATCCTCTTTCCTCTTCGTTGTCAAACTCATAAGTAACCAAGGTCAGAGTCTGATTATGATATGTTGGCAATCATCACCTCTCATTTATGAATAAATATATTTTTATGCAGTTTGATGTTCCATTCACTTCGCTTATTCATTTGTTCATTCATTCAACACATTTATTTGTGGAGCATTTGGCCTAGGAAAAAGAAACCTTCCTTAGCATTGAGGGGGAAGAAGACAGAATGCACAAATATACAGGCTTGGTTTTGTATGGCTTTTGATGTTTCTAAAATAAAATACGATCTAACTTGAAGAGTGAAGACTTATCACTGAGATATTTAAAAATTCTAAAAAGTCAGTTCCAAAAGAACTTTCAAAATGTTTTAAACAATGATTATTTACGTTGGAATGGCTATGTAGCATTCCAAGATTTTAGTGCTCAACCAGCACTTCAAGTGCCTGCCGGGTGCATGGTGAAGGACAATTGTAGTGGGAGTTAGACAATGAATTGGAAAATCCCTGCCCAAAAGTCCTGTTACTGTCAAAGCATAGACAGCACCCTGTAGAAAGTGTCATGTGTTCTGAGCAAGAGGATACAGTCAACCAGCAAGTATATTTGATGGGTAGAACAGGAAAGTTGTTACAGAGGAGGTGCTATTTCAGGCAGTTATGAAAAATGACTATAGGTTTATGAGGCAGAGATGAGAGGCACTTAAACAATGTTAAACAACGTTAAATTTAAACAAATGTTAAAATTGCATCTCCTACCCAGGCACTTGTTTGAAATTTCTGTTTTATTTGCTCTTTGGAGATTACTTCTTGGTATACTTACATTTTCTATGTCAAGATAAAAAGAGAGAAGTGATAGTGTGTGTCTGTCTGTGTGTGTGTGAGTGTGTAGTATTTTTCACAGAATTTGTGTTTCCAAGCTTACTTGTAACTCAGGCTTGTCAGAGTTCTCATAACAAATACATGATTAAACCATATTACAATCTGTCACCTCCAATGTCAAAGTTTTATGGTACCTCAATGCTTCCAGGGAGGATGGTCTACCTTCATGATTTATTTACAGACCAAATCATAATCAAAAATAATTCCTAGGCTTATACCTATTATCAGGGGTAAGAAATAGTTTAAACACATTTGCATGAACAAAGGTAGTCTAATGTTTATAAAAAACAATTTGAAATGATCTTTCCCTTTAGAATACAATGTTTTTTAAAATTTCTTGATGTATATTTTTATATACTGTGAATTATATATTTTATATACAGTTGGGCACATTAGTGTCTTTGTGATATAGCAAGATTTTGTACAGACTTTTAATCTATCAAAGACAAAGCTAGATAAGTAAGCGGATTCTCATTTGTCTCATAGACCATTATTTTAGGATGATTTGAGACCACAGGAAATACTGACTCACTTTTTCTAAAGAGACAACTGATTTTCTTGTACTTTATAAAGTTTAAATTGATCCTCTCTCCTTTTGATTAATTGAAACAATGGGATTTCATAAACCTTAACAGGAAGATTCTTATTATTTATCTAACCAGAAGGGAAATGTAAAATATTTGGCTCTCTTGGGCCTGTTTTCTATCTCAACATCACAAAACATTGTTGTTACTTCCATAATGCTCAGCTTCAATTTTTTTTGCTTGCTCAATCAAAATGAATTACCAAATTTTTTTCCTCTTCCTGTCTAAAATGGAACCCCATTAATCCTCCTACCCACAGCCCTGGGACTGTTTCTTTTATTCCTGTAGCTTCTAATATCCTTAATTTTGGGTTAAAATACTGTGAGTATCTCACACCCCCTCATCCAGGTCCTGCGGAGCCTGTCTTCTGAAGTCTCTTAAGTCTTCTTAAATCTTCTCTTAAGAATTCTCATGTAGAATCAACTGCTCGCTGTTTAACATGGTCTAAATAGTCCTTCAAATTCTGACTACAAGTTATTTTCTTAGCCTCAAAAAAGTACCTCCTCTCCTAATATATCAAATAGCTTGCACCCTCCTGTCTCCTGTTCACATCTTCATTCCTTTCACTTTACCTGAACGGCCCTTCCCTCAGCTACCCCTCCTGGTGTAAGCTTCAGTGGATTGACTCGTGCTTGAGTATTTTATTGCAATTTGGACATCTCACCTCTCACTCCTGGCTTCTGTCTATCTACCTGTCTTGACCTGCCACTTGTGCTGCCTCTGGCTTATCTCCCTACTTCTGATTCACAGTGCTATTTGTTAGCTTCATATCTACTTGTTCTCTCAATTATTGCTCAGCCTGCCCAGGCCAGGCTTTTTGTCCTGTATTTATAAACTGCTATTGACTTGAGAGTGACTGTGCATTTCTAATCAAAGTACTGTGTATAGACTGATAGCTAAAATGGTACAGTAGAAAAAAATGGATCTGCCTTTGAGTGTATTACATTATCTAGTGACCCATAAATATTTTCTTCTTATTTTTATCATTATTGTTATTTTTAAATGGGAGGATCAAGGAAGGCAGAGTCTAGGCCACCAATCTGAACTTAGGTTTTCATCTTTATTAAGATATTTGGGATCACTGCAAATATTCTGAATTTTAAATGCTATTCAGCGACCCAAAAAAATAAAAATTGTGTTTTACCATGAACTGAGTAGGGTTTCAGCATTAGGCTATTGTGCCATCATTTCTATAAATGCGAACTGTCAAAGAAACATTCATCTTTTAACATGGGAGTATCCCAGGCCTCAGTCTTCAGCCCTTTTTCTATGTGCACTCATCCCTATGGGATCTCACAAAGCCTGATGGTATTAAATTCCATCTATATGCACATGATACATAAATGTATATCTCCAGCTCTTACATTTCCTCTGAAGTCTAGACTCCTATATAATTGCCTGCTAATTATTGCCACTAGGAAGATTAATATACAATGAAAACAGCACACTTCCACAAGGAAATCCTTGATCCTCCACTCTTAACCCCTGGACCCTCCACTCATCGGTCTTCCCCATCTCAGTAAATAATCTCTCTAGTGTACCAGCTACTAGGCCAGAAAACTCACCCTGACTCCTTTTTGTTTCTTACACCTCATATCAGCATACACTGTTGAGCTCTATTCAGAATCTAATCTCCTTACCATACCCATCACGTGCACCTTGCATTACTTTACGTTGTCATTGTCATGGATTACTGAAGTAGCATCTTGATTGATCTCCCATGTATTCTCTCATGTTCCCTGTACTTTATTCTTCACTGAGCAACCAGGGTAAGCCTTAAAAGCATAAGACAATTAATGTTTTTTGTCTGCTTAAAACCTTCCAATGATTTTGCAGATCAAAGTAAAAGCCAATATCCTGTCATGGCAAACAAGATCTCAAACTTGTCCCCTAACACTTCTCTGATCTGCAGTTCGGTCATTCTCCCCTTGCTTACTGCAATCTTCAAAGACGCCAGGCGTGTGTGCTTCTATCCCAGGGCCTTTGCATATGTGGTGCTCTTTTCCTGGAGTGCTTTTTTTTTTTTTTAAATCAGACAACAGTATGGTTTATTTCCTCTTTTATCCAGGCCTTTGCTTATTACCCTGTCATAAGAGGAGTATTTTGTGACCATTTGACTTCAAATAGTACCTACTTCATTCTCTAATCTCTTCTATTTTTTAAAGCACTTTTTATCACCTCATCTATTTTATATACACATTTTCCAGTTTGTTCACTGGTTGCTCCCACTCTCCCCACTATGTAAGATCTATAAGAGGAGAGGCTTTATTTTGTTCCTTGCTGTATCTCTAGCTCTTCAAATACTGCTTAGCAGATAGTAGGCATGCAGGTTAGTATTGCATGCATGAATGAGTATTCAAGAGATACAGTAAATCATATTAAAGGTTGTTTCAGTGGATGAGATGCTGAATATTCATTTGTTAAAAAAAGAAAACAAACAAACACATAATAAGCACCTCAAATTCTTTCTGAACATTTTCTCTCAAATTTAAGCTACTCTATTATCCTTAATTTTTTTGGTTTCTTGATCACTAATGACTCACTTACTGTATCTCAGTCCCATTTAAAGGCATACACTGAAAATATTTCAAGCTAAGTTCCAGACCAATGACGCAAAGCAAACATCACAATAGAGTGAGTCACACAAATTTGTTGGTTTTCCAGTGCATAAAGGTGATGTTTACACTATGCTGTATGTAGTCTATTAGGACAATAGGCTATTAAGTGTCCAATACAATGTTTCTTCTGCCAAACATTTCATCCTGTCATATGTTCCGGTTAGTCAAACATAAACAGGGCACGAGGGGGGGGCCCCCAACCAAAAATGTAAGGTGATCAGGAGGTGATGGTCAGGTGGTTGTAAACTGCATCTCTGAAATATTTACTGTTCGCAGCCAGTGCCAGCTGGTGCCAGGGAAAAATGGTTCCTGCCACAGACAGAAACACCAGATAGTGTTCAGCAGCTTCCTGATAAGCTCAAAGGAGTTCGGCTAGTGGGCTCACGCATGGTAGTGGGTGTAGTTTAAGAGCTCTAGTACCTTTCTCTGGCAACATTTGACTGGTTCAGGAGGAACACATCAAGCGAGCGTGCATACAACTCCAGTAACCATACTGCACATTCAGCCCCTACCAAGTGCTGATGGACCACTCTGCATGTGGACAACCTGCCCCAAGGGAAGCATCAGTGAGAAAAAACAATCCCCGAAGCCTGCTAACCTATGAGACCCCAAGTCAAAAATCAAACCATGCACTTGATCTCTCAGGTCACCCGTTTGGCCCACTTCCAGATGTACTTTATTACCTTTGGCTCTTATTCTGATGCTGTTTAATAAACTTTCACTCCTGTTTTAAAACTTTCCTTGGTCTCTCCCTCTGGCTTACTCCCTTCAGTCAAATTCTTTCTTCTTAGAAGACAAGAATTGAGGTTGCTGCAGACCCATACAGATCTGCTGCCATGATACAGGAGGTAGAAATAAATGATTTAGGATGCTAGTAGCTGCGCCAATAGAAAAGGGCTACCTGGGGGCCAGGCATGTCCAACACAGAGGCTCCATCTTCCCTTTTATTGTTACTATGTTTACAGTAAAAAAGAAAAAAAAAGAAAAAAGGGCAATGTGACACTGGCCAGGCAGAAAAGCCATCTGCATAATAAAAGGTTATGGTGGGGGCAGCCAGCTTTTCATGCCCTATGCAAATGGCACACCTGGTCAAACCAATCTTTTGTGTCTTAGGTAAATCAGACACCTCCCCACTTCAAGCTCATCTATAAAGCCCCTTGCACTTCACTGCCGAACCAGCAACCCATTTCTCTGGGACCCTTCTCTGTAGCAAGAGAGCTTTTCTCTTTCTTTCACCTATTAAACTTCTGCTCTGAGCCTCACTCTGAGTGTCTGTGGCCTAGTTTTCCAGGTCTGTGAGACAACGAATCTCAGATATTTACCACAGACAATAATGCCATTTCATTGTGGGGGCTGGTTGGGGATCCAAGGTAGATTCATCGGAAAGGTGAGTAGAGGAGTGGACCCTAAACCTTTACTTTGATTTTGAGGGCTTCTGCCCTCAACTTTAAAATTATAAACTAAAAACTGGGCAACTGATAGCAAATTAAAAAAACCTTTAGGGTGGCAACCATTCTCAATACTAAGACAACAGAGAAAACTTAGTGAATCCCCCAGGGCCCTCAAAGTGCTGGGAATGTTGACTCTCTTTTGAACCAGTTTTCTTTCACAGACAGCCTAGGTGTCATGTGGGTCTGGAAGAGGTCCAGAGGCAACTAATGCTTCCTTCCCAGGACCATACCCCACTGTTACCCAAAGGCTTCTGGACTAACTCCACCCTCTGACTGCCGGATGGGCATCTGCAACAGGATCTTGGAGCCTTTCCTATTGCAATTTTCCTCCTTTCCTGTCTAAGACAACCATGTCTCTTATCTACTGTGTGTGTGCAATGCTGCAGAAATTTTTAAAGCTCAGGGAAATAATCCTGTTAGGCAAGATTTGGAAATGCTCTGGTAACTGGGAATATAGATCAAGGGAGTGCCATTTTTGTGATTTTCTAGAAACAGAGGGTCTCACCCATCCCATCCAGTGAACGACTCTCTCTCTCTCTCTCTCTCTCTCTCTCTCTCTCTCTCTCTCAGCCCTTGGTCTGTAGAGCACATGGTATTTCAAGGTCAACAGCACCACCTATTGCAATTAGAATCCTCTCCATGAGACAGCTTGTCAGCCCTTTGCTGAAACATTCTAGTTTCTGAATTCTCACTTTTGCACTCTCTACTAGAGACCAGGCTTTATGCTGCTTCTGTGAATGGGAAAACTCAACAATGAGGGGGAAAATGTCCTCCAAAATGAAGTTTTAGCCCCAGTACTGTCCCATGAGCAGGAAAACCACCTTTCATTCCTTACATTATTTTAAGGCACCTATTCTGCCTCCAATTAACATGTTACTTAAATAGTAACATTTTATGTCTGAAAGTTAACCAGAATCACTGCCTAAGAATAAGTACATGACTCGAGGCCATGATAGCAAAATAGAGAGCTCAACTCAGTACACTGTCTCCATTAAAGAGGCCTTGCCCAAATACAACTATTACATCCTATTTTCCAAGATCCATCTATTGAGGAACCATACAGGTCACACAGGTTTACAAAGTCAAAAAAAAACAATCACCAGTGGAGAACCAAAGGTTACTAGACATTTGTAAGCATTGCACAATCAACACAGCTATTTTAACAGTCATATCAGGCAGGCCCAAAGGAAGTAACTCCCCCACACTAGCGAAACAAATTCTGGGAAAAACATCTAAGGCAGTTGTTCAGGCCCCTCTTGGTCCCCCTTATTCAGGGCCCCTTCCAAATGCAATGTCAGCCCCTCCAGTGTCATCACTCCTCATTCCACAGTCTGACGCTTACCACTGCAGGCAATGCCTAATGGAGACAATGTCACTAAGGTTCCAGTTCCCTTCTCATTGCAGAACCACAGGCAGATAAAGAGAATTAGGCTGGTTTTCGAATGACCCTGACAGGTATAAAGAAGCTTTCCAAAATTTAACTCAGGTGTCGGACCTTACCTGGAGGGATGTTATGCTTCTCCTCAGACAAACCCTAACTGCAGCTGAAAAACAGGAAGATCTGCAGGCAGCTGAGAAGTTCAGAGACAAGCAATATGTGTCCTACAGTGCGACAAAAAAACATATAAAAATAAATAAATAAATAAAAATGCAAGACAAAATAGGGAAAGAAAAGAAACAAGGGAAACTCCATTACCAAAAGGAAGAGGGGCAGTACATATTGACAACCCTGATTGGAACCCCAATGACTCAAGAGTTTAATAGAAATACTGAATACTTTTAATATTCAATATTGGACATTTTTAATATTGAAAGGCCTACAAAGAACTAGGGCCAAGCTTCTAAAATTAGTCTGTTTTAAAACTGCTGACAAAAACATACCTGAGAGAGGGTAATTTAAATGGAAAAAAGATTAATGGACTCACAGTTCCACATGGCTGGGGACACTTCACAATCATGACAGAAGGCGAAAGGCAAGTCTCACATAACAGATCAAAATGGGCAAGGTTTAGCAGCTCCATCATCTTTCTTTGAGAACACTCGACCGGTGGAGTAAGAATGCCTCAAGTAAGCACGTGTAAGATTCCAGACATCGCACTGTGTATGCCACACACCCCGCCCAAAGAGCTCACTGGCCGCTGCACTGGTGAACAGCCCCACTCAAGGGAAGGATCAGGGCAGAGGCAATGACGCCAACTCAGAAGCATGCCAATGAAGGAGAATCCAAGTCAAAAATAATACCATGAACTCGATTCATCAAGTCACCCACTACACCCTCTTCCAACTGTATCTTGCTTCCATTCCTTCCTGCTCCAAAGTGTTGAAGAAGCTATCACTCCTACTCTTAATCTAACTGTCCTGTTATGCCCTAGCAACAACTTCTCACAAGCCTTTTGGGGCAGTCTGAACAGCTGTCAGGATAGAGCCTAGTACTGTGGCCCTTTAAAGACCCCACCTACTTGCTCGTTTCCAGTCATTGCCCCTCTGGGAAGAGGGAAGATTCTTCCTTCACCCAGGGTGAGTTTTCACCCCTAACCACAAGTGCTCCAGAGTTTACTACCTTATGTAAACAAGACATTAAATGTAAACCTCTCATTTCCACTGTTTGCCATGACATCATCTCAGGTGTTCCTGGCGCCCACCAGGCAATCTCCCGAAGCACTCCTTCTGCTGTCCATGCAATGTTCTTAAGTCTTCTTTCTGCCCAGTGTGCAATCTTCCTGGATGGCCCTTCTGTCACACGTTCACGTCTGACAGAGGTTTCTTCTGCCAAACACTGAATCTTCTCGGACGTTCTTCTGCCAAATGTGCAATCCTGTCAGACATTCCAGTCACTCTAGGTAACTGGTCTGACATAAGCAGGGTATGAGGGGCTTCCCCCACCACCACGAGAAATGTCAGACAACCATTAGATGACGGCCAGGCAGTTGTTGAAATGTTTCTATGGAAGAAAACCATTCGCAGCCTGCCGGTGCCAAAAAAGGGCAGCCTCCCAAAGAACAAAAGAGCCGGAAGGTGGACATCAGCAGCTTCCCAGTAAAATCCCAGGAATCAGGTGCGTGGGCTCATGCAGGACACTTAACAGCCAGAAGGGCTGGGTTTAGCAGCTCCATAACCTTCCTCTAAAAACACTCAATGGGTAAGAAAAGAGCACATGCCTAAGACTCCAGGAACCACATGCACGTGTGACACCCAAAACCCATGGGCTGACAGGCCACGGCACTGGGAGACCCACACAAAGGAAGGATCAGGGGAGAGGCAAAAACACTACCCTGAAAGCCTGCCAACAAATGACACCCTGAGTCAAACCCTGCACTTGTTAACTCAGGTCTCGAAAGAGAAATGATCATTCTAAGCACATCACAGGAATCACATGGCCTTCACCAGTGATGGGTTTAGCAATAGGCATGTGCTGTAATACAGACCATATGATGTTTCCGGAAGGTCACTATGAGCTGCAGACTTGACTGCCTGTTGAAAAGACACCTGGGAAGAAGACCAACCCATCCACACTTCAGATACTGCCTTCAGACAACACGCCAACTGCAGCTGTTGCTACTCAGTCCACCGGAAAAGCACACATGAACTAAAAACTGCCCACGGCATGGCTGGAAGGGAAATGTGAGCATGACACAACGATACCAACACAACTCTGGTGCCTATGGCGTCAGCTGCTATTATTTGGGTCGTCTACTATTTAAAGCCACGAGCATCCTGAGAATGTGGCCGTGGCCCGCAAAATATATCCTCTACCCCTCCTGTTCTGGACTGCTCAAAAATCTTCCCTAAGCTCACTTTTTCTAGACATTCAAATTATGCCCAACGACGTCAGTACCACACTCTTTACAATAGCAACAATGTATGGTTCCTAAAACGGAAAGAATTCATGTGAGTCTCTGACCTTTGGAACTTGACATTCCTTCGGAAAACAGGGAATCTTCTACAAATGTTCCTTCTGCAAATCGCGTGAGCTTCTCAGACGTTCTTTCTGCCACACATTCCACCTTTAAGAGGTTTCAACGATGAAACGTTCAGTCTTCTCGCATGTCTACTCTGCCAAACCGGGGATCCGATCACATAGCTCTTCTGCAAAACATTCGACCTCATCAGAAGTGTCTTCCACCAACCATTCCATCTTGCCAGATGTTTCTGTGTTACTGTGGATGGCTGGACACACAGGATCAGCGCATGAGAGGGTCTAGCCCACACCCCACCAGATATGTCAGGTGACCAGGAAGTGACAGGGCAGGCCGTCGTTAAATTGCCTTTCTCAAATAAGAAATGATGGCTGGGAGGCAGCGCCAGGGACGGCAGTGCCCCCAACAGACAGAAATCCCAGAAGGTGGTGATGAGCAGCTCCCCAAGAAGGTATCAGGAGGCAGGCGAGGGGGCTCACACACACCTCCTCACAGGCATACCGGCCAGGTTTCACTACCCTATGACCTTCCCCGGGCAACATCCTACTGCCGAAAAAGACACGCCTCAAGTGAGAGTGCCTGCAACTGCAGGAAAAACGCCATGCCTACGGCCCCTCCCAGCTGTCAACAGGACACAGCCAATGTGGACAGCATACCACGTGAAAAGGGCAGCTCTTTTGGAGAGTGCAGCAAGGCTTTCCGTGAGTCCTCTCGCTTCCTCCTGCTTTAGCCTGTATCCTCTGTTTCTCTACTCACAGCCATGCCCTTCTCCAGATGCTTCCAGGCCTTCCAGGTCCTATTTGAAGGGAGAAATGTCCAGCTCCTTGCAGCAGCTAGCTGAAAAACAGGCTCCTCGTCTACTGTGAGAATCTGGGAAGTGGGAATCAGACAGCAGAGATCATCATTGTCTTGCTGGAACGCTCTCACCCACAGTCACTCTCACGTCACGCAGACAAGGACAGAGTCCGGACAAAGGCCACAGGTGCAACAGAACGATAGCACCCAGACCAAGGCTGATCCCAGGCTAACACACGTCCATTAGAGCAGGGAGGAAGGCAAGAACAGGGGCACATGGTAACAACGGTTCATTCTGGGACCCCAGGGATGAATGGGGCTTCCCCGAACCGGTTCACTCCAGCACCTCCTCTCTTCTCCAGTGGGTGATCATGACGAGATGGCACCGGGTTTGGCAGGGAAACAGTAAGACCAAGACATCCCAGAGCCCTATGGATGAACGGGGGATGCCCTATTCAGGATCCTGGGAAAGATAAGAGAGCCCAAGCATGATGGACACAGTCCTTGTAAGCCGCCAAAAACTTTCCTGAAACAGGACCTGGGAAAGAAACCCTGTGCGGTTTGAAAGGTTATTAGGTCTGTTAAATGCTTCTGGAATCGACGCTTTACCAGAGGCCAGTCAGGACCATTTGCTTACGTGTCATCTCTGACTGCTTCCACACTGCTACAGCAGGCTTCAGCAGACATGACAGAGACCACCGGGCCTACAAGCGTTTCCCACCTGCCCCTTTACAGGAAGAACTGGCCAAACCCTGCGTCACGCCGTGACTGGAAAGTCCTAATACTCACCGCTCATCTTCTGACTCCCCTGCTCAAAAGCTTCCCGTGAATCTCTGCAGGAAACCTGGCTGGCTCCCTATCCACGGAATTTCTTCTTTCTCGCTGGAGAAATGCAAGGTTATCAGGATCTTTATCGTTCCCTCAACCCACCCCAGCTCCTGAAGGAGGAATGATCATTCTAAGCTCATCACAGCAATCACATGGTTTTCCCCAGTGACTGGCTTAGCAGTCGGCATGTGCTGTAACCCAGCCCATACGATGTTACCAGAAGGCCACTGTGAGCTGCTGACTTGACTGCCTCTTCAAAAGACACCTGGGAAGAAGAGCAACCCCTCCACCCTTCACACGCTGCCTTCAGAGAACACGCCGACTGCAGCTGTTGCTACTTGGCCCGCCAGCAAAGCAGACATGAAGTAAACACTGCCCACAGCACAGCTGGAAGGGAAAACGTGAGCGTGACACGACGATGCCAACACAATTCTGGTGCCTATGGCTTCAGCCGCTCTTACTTGGGTCATCTACTATTTACAGCCACGAGCATCCTGAGAATGTGGCTGTGGCCCATAGAATATGTCTCTACCCCTCCTACTCCGGACTGTTCAAAAATCTACCCTCAGCTCGCCTTTTCTAGATATTCAAACCACGCCCAACCACTCTCGTACCACACTCTTGCCACCAGCAACACTGAGCTGCTCCTGAACCCGACAGAGTTCACATGAGCCTCTGACCTTTGGAACTTGCCGTTCCTTCGGGAAAACAGGCAATCTACTCCCAGTGCTCCTTCTGGGAATCCTGCGAGCTTCTCAGATATTCTCTCTGCCACACCTGTTCCCTCCGTTCCACCCTGCCAGATGTCTCCTCGGCCAAAACGTTCCGTCTTCTCGCATGTCTCCTCTGCCAAACCAGGGATCTGGTCACATGGCTCTTCTGCAAAACATTCGATCTCGTCAGATGTGTCTTCCGCCAACCACTCCATCCTGCCAGATGTTTCTGTGTTACCGTGGGCGGCTGGTCAGACAGGAGCAGCGCAGGAGAGGGCCACGCCCACACCCCACCTGACACCTCAGGTGACCAGGAGGTGATGGGTCAGGCCACCATTAAACTGCCTCTCTCAAATAACAGATGATTGCTGGGAGCCCCGCCGGGGACGGGCAGTCCCCCAGACAGACAGAAACCCTGGAAGGTGGCGATGAGCAGCTCCCCGAGATCTCAGGGGGTGGGCGAGGGGGTTCACGCTTGCGCATTCACAGGCAAACCGGCCGGGTTTCACTGTCCTATGACCCTCCCTGGGCAACATCCAACTGCCGAGGGAGGCACGCCTCAAGTGAGCACCCCTACGACTCCAGGAAACACGCTGCGCCTGCGGTCCCTCCCAAGTGCCGACAGGCCACTGCCCATGTGGATGGCCCGCCCTGTGAAAAGGCTCAGGGGAGGAAGCGACGCAACCCCTGGCTCCTGGAAGCCTGCCAATGTGTGAGACCTCTCCTCAAAGGTCGAACAATGCATGCCCCTGACCTCTCCAGTTGCACACATGGCATTCTTCTAAGTGTACCTTATTGCCTCGCCTCCCTGCTCCGGTACCATCTGGGAGACCCGCGCTTAAAGTGGCCTCGGTTTCTCTCCCTCCGCCTCATGCCCCTCAGTCAAACTCCCTCTGACGAGGCAAGAGCTCAGGTTGCTGCGTGCAGGCCTCTATGGATCCACCGCCGCGGACGTCCCTACCGCCAAACACCCCATCTTAGCGGATGTTTTCTCTCCCAAATGTTCCCTCTTTCCAGCTGTTTCCTTTGCACGGCATGCAATCTTCCTAGGTGTTCCGTCTACCCACCGTGGAATCTGCTCAGAGGTTCCTTCTGCCCACCATGAGACCTGCTTAAGGGTTTTCTGCTGTTGACCACGCCATCTTCGCACTTAGGCCTTCTGCTAAACGTGCAGTCTACCTGAGTGTTCCTTCTGCCAAACAGCTAGTTGTGTCCGCTCCCTCCCCTGACAAGCGCTCAGTCTTGTCCGGCGCACCATGGGCCCAATACTTCCTCCACCCAGATGTTTCTTGGGCAGGCCTTGCAATCTGCCTAGGGCGTCCAACTGCCCATCCTGCAGTCTTCTCACGGGTTCCCTCACCCTGCCAGCCCCCCCTGCAATCTCCCTACCCTAAGGTTTCCTCATGCTGATCACCAGATGTTCTTAGCAGTTCCTTCCGAAATCGCTGCAGTCTGCTTAGATGTTACCTCTGTCACACTCGGCTGTCAGATGTTCCTTCCGCCAGACACTCCATCTCGTCAGATGATCTTCTGGCACACGTTCAATCCTGTCAGGTGTCCCTCTCCGTCACACGTGCAGAGCGGGGCCCGAGAGGGTTCCCCACCACCAGTAAATGTTAGGCAGCCGCGAGGTGATGGTCGTGTGGTCTCAAAGCAGACTCTCTAGAGAAATCACTGGCGCAGGCAGTGCCAGGGAAAGGCAGTCCCCCTCCCCCACAGCAGTCAGGAACATCGGAAGCATCCCTGGCAGACCTTGTGAGTTGGGCAAGTGGGCTCACGCACGTGCCCTGAGAGGCAAACTGGTGGGAGGTTCACTGCTGTAGGACCTTTACCCCTGGACACATTCGTCTGCTTGCTGGAGAAATGCCTCAAGCAAGCACGCTAACAACTCCAGTAAGCACACAGCACCTGCGGCCCCCGCCCCTCCACCCCACAAGAAGATGCTAACAGGCCACTGCGCCAGTGGACTGCCCCCTCTTCCCCGACAAGAGAAGCATCAGGGGACCGGCAGCAATGCTGCCAATGGGGGAGACCCCGAGTCGAAGGTCCAGCCCTGCACTGCACCTCTCAGGCTGCTGCCTGCCTGGGCCTCTTCCAAGCCTCCTTGACTTCCTTTGGCTCCTGCCACAATACCGTTTCAGGAACTTTCGCCCCTGCTCCAACGTGTTCCTCAGTCTCTCCCTCTGCCTTGTGCCCCTCGGTCGATGTCCTTCTGCTCAGGAGGCAGGAACCGAGGTTGCCGCAGGCCTGCACGCATCTGCCGCCACTCACGGGCCCCACTGCCAAACGTGGAATCTTGCCCAATGTGCCTGTCCTCAGCCAGACATGCCATCCCTTCAGATGCTTCTTTCGCAGGCCACGCACTTGCATGCTTCCTACGTTTTCCTCCCTGCTGCTGTGCCATCAGCTGCAAGGTTTCTGCTGTCCACCATGCAACCTTCTCACATGTTCCTTCCACCACACGTGCAATCTCCCTAAGCATCCCTTCTCCCAAACGCTCCACTCTGTCCCTTGTTCCCCCTGGCAAGCATCCCATCTTCTCAGGTGTTTCTTCTGCCACATATTTAATCATCTTCACATGTTGCCTCCCAAGGCCTTGAATCCTTCCCAGCTCATCCTCCCGCACACCCCGCAATCCTCCCAGATGCTACCGCCGCCCACCGGGCAATCTCCAGAGGCACTCCTTCTGCTGTCCAGTGCTCTTAGGTCTTCCTACTACCCAATGTGCAATCTTCCCAGATGGGCCTTCTGCCACACATTCACATCTGATCTGGCAGGTGTTTCTTCTGCCAAAGCTTCAATCTTCTCGGATGCTCTTCTGCCACATGTGCAATCCTGTCAGACGTTCCTATCACTTGAGGTACTTGGTCTGACGTGAGCATAGTACCGGGGGTCCCCCCACCACCACCAGGAATGTCAGATGACCATGAGGTGACAGTTGGGCGGTACTTGAACCCTATCTATGGAGGAAAACTCCTCACGGCCGGCTGCAGCCAAGGAAGGGCAGGCACCTGATGGATGGAAGCGCAGGAAGGTGGACATCAGCAGCCTCCCTGTAAGATCCCAGGAGTTGGGCGTGTGGGATAATGCAGGACACCTTGACAGCCACAAGAGCAGGGTTGAGCAGCTCCGTCCCCTCCCTCTGAGAACACTCAACGAATAGGGGAAGAATGCCTCAAGTGAGCAGGCCTAAGACTCCAAGAACCCCACAGTGCCTGTGACTCACCTCGCCCATGGGCTGACAGGCAGCGGCACCGGTTGACAGCACCGCCCAAGGGAAGGATCAGTGGAGAGGCAATGACGCCACCCCAGAAGGCTGCCCAAGGAGGAGACCCCAAGTTGAAGGTCAAACCCTGCACTCCATCCCTCAGGTTGTCCACTTCACTATCTTCCAACTGTATCTCGCTTTCTTTCCTTCCTGCTCCAAAGTGCTGAAGCAGCTTTCACTCCGGCTCTTCACCGTGCCTACCTCTGAAGCCCTAGGGCCAACTGCTCAGGGGGCTTTTGGGGCAGTCTGTACCGACACCTGCATAGGGCCTCGTTCTGTGGCCCTTTAGGGACCCCACCTTCATGCTCATTTCCAGTCAGTGCCCCTCTGGGAACAGGGAAGACTCTTCCTTCAATCCAGCTGTGTTTTTGCCCCAGGCCACAAGTGCTCCAGAGGTGACTACCTTATGTCAGGTTGGCATTGAACGTGGCCCTCTTGAGTCCGAGGGCAGCTCTTTTGGCGAGTGCAGCAAGGCTTTCCATGAGTCTTCCTCTCTCGCTTCCTCCCACTTCTGCCTGTAGCCTGGATTTCTCTACTCGTGGCCATGCCCTTCTCCAGATGCTTCCAAGCCTTCCAGGTCCACTCTGAAGGGAGAAATTTCCAGCCCCCTTGCGGCAGCTAGCTGAAAAACAGGCTCCTCGTCTACTGTGAGAACCTGGGAAGCGGGAATCAGACAGTGGAGATCATCATTGTCTTGCTGGAACGCTCTCAGGCACAGTCACTCTCATTTCACAGAGACAAGGACAGAGGCCGGACCAAGGCCACAGGCGCAACAGACCCATAGCACCCAGACCCAAACTGATCTCCGGCTAACACACGGCCATTAGAGCAGGGAGGAAGGCAAGGGCAGGGGTACATGGTAACACTGGTTCATTCTGGGACCCTGGGGATGAACGGGGCTCCCCTGACCCTGTTCACTCTAGCACCTCCTCTCTTCTGCAGTGGGTGATCATGACGAGATGGGACCAGGGTTGGCAGGGACACAGTAAGAACGAGACATCCCGGAGCCCTAAGGACGAATGGCGGATACCCTACTCAGGATCCTGGGAAAGTTCACAGAGCCTAAGCATGTTGGAGACGGTCCTTGTAGCCAACAGAAACGTTCCTGAAACGGGATCCGGGAAAGAAACGCCATGCGGTTTGAAAGGTTGTTAGGTCTGTTAAATGCTTCCGGAATCAATGCTTTACCGGAGGTCAGTCGGGACCATTTGCTTACACGTCATCTCTGACTGCTTCCACGCTACTACGGCAGGCTTCAGCAGACACGACAGAGACCACGGGGCCTACGAGTGCTTCCCACCTGGCCCTTTACAGGAAGAGCTGGCCAATCCCTGTGTCACACCGTGACCGGAAAGCCCTAATACTCACCGCTCATCTTCTGACTCCCCTGCTCAAAAGCTTCCCATGATTTTCTGCAGGAAACCTGGCTGGCTCCCTATCCACGGAATTTCTTTCTTCTTTCTCGCTGGAGAAATGCAAGGTTATCGGGATCTTTATCACTCCCTCAACCCACCCCAGCTCCCGAAGGAGGAATGATCATTCTAAGCTCATCACAGCAATCACATGGTTTTCCCCAGTGACCGGCTTAGCAGTCGGCATGTGCTGTAACCCAGCCCATACGATGTTACCAGAAGGTCACCGCGAGCTGCTGACTTGACTGCCTCTTCAAAAGACACCTGGGAAGAAAAGCAACCCCTCCAGCCTTCGGATACTGCCTTCAGAGAACACACCAACTGCAGCTGTTGCTACTCGGCCCGCCAGCAAAGCAGACATGAACTAAACACTGCCCACAGCACAGCTGGAAGGGAAAACATGAGCATGACACGACGATGCTGACACAATTCTGGTGCCTATGGCTTCAGCCGCTCTTACTTGGGTCATCTACTATTTACAGCCACGAGCATCCTGAGAATGTGGCCGTGGCCCACAGAATATATCCTCTACCCCTTCTGCTCTGGACTGCTCAAAAATCTACCCTCAGCTCGCCTTTTCTAGACATTCAAACCACACCCAACCATTCCCGTACCACACTCTTGCCACCAGCAACACTGAGCTGCTCTCGAACCCGACAGAGTTCACGCGAGCCTCTGACCTTTGGAACTTGCCATTCCTTCGGGCAAGCAGGCAATCTTTTCCCGATGCTCCTGCGAATCCTGCGACCTTCTCAGACGTTCTCTCCACCATACCTGTTCTCTCCGTTCCACCCTGCCAGATGTCTATTCGGACAAAACGTTCCGTCTTCTCGCATGTCTCCTCTGCCAAACCACGGATCCCGTCACATGGCTCTTCTGCAAAACATTCGATCTCGTCAGATGTGTCTTCCGCCAACCACTCCATCCTGCCAGATGTTTCTGTGTTACCGTGGGCGGCTGGTCAGACAGGAGCAGCGCAGGAGAGGGCCACGCCCACACCCCACCAGACACATCAGGCGACCAGGAGGCGACGGGTCAGGCTGCCATTAAACTACCTGTCTCAAATAATAAATGATTGCCGGGAGCCGGTGCCAGGGACGGGCGGTCCCCCAGACAGACAGAAACCCCGGAAGGTGGCGATTAGCAGCTCCCTGAGAAGATCTCAGGGGGCGCGTGACGGGGCTCATGCTTGCACACTCACAGGCAAACCGGCCGGGTTTTACTGTCCTACGACCCTCCCCAGGCAACATCCGACTGCCAAGGGAGGCACGCCTCATGTGAGCGCCCCTATGACTCCAGGAAACACGCCACGCCTGCGGTCCCTCCCAGGTGATGACAGGCCACTGCCCATGTGGATGGCCCACCCTGAGAAAAGGCTCAGGGGAGGAAGCAATGCAACCCCTGGCTCTTGGAAGCCTGCCAATGTGTGAGACCTCGCCTCAAAGGTCGAACAAAGCGTGCCCCCGACCTCTCCAGTTGCCCACATGGCCCTCTTCCAAGTATACCTTACTGCCTCGTCTTTCTGTTCTGGTATCATCTGGGAGACCTGCACTCCTGCGCTCAAAGAGGCCTCGGTCTCTTTCACTCCGCCTCACGCCCCTCAGTTAAACTCCGTCTGATGAGGTGAGAGCTCGGGTTGCTGCCTGCAGGCCCCTATGGATCTGCCACCGCTGACATCCCTACCGCCAAACGCTCCATCTTGGTGGATGTTTTCTCTCCCAGATGTTCCCTCTTTCCAGATGCTTCCTTTGCAAGCCACGCACTCTTCCTAGGCATTCCGTCTGCCCACCATGGAATCTGCTCAGAGGTTCCTTCTGCCCACCGTGCGACCTGCTAAAGGGTTTCTGCTGTCTACCATGTCATCTTCACACTTGGGCCTTCTGCCAAACGTGCAATCTACCTGAGGGTTCCCTCTGCCAAACAGCCAGTTGCGTCCACTTCTTCCCCTGACAAGCATTCAGTTTTGTCTGGCGCACCATGGGCCCAATACTTCCTCTACCCAGATGTCTCTTGGGCAGGCCTTGCAATCTCCCTAGGGCATCCAACTGCTGATCCCGCAGTCTTCTCACGGGTTCCCTTGCCCCCCAGCACCCCTGCAATCACCCTACCCTAAGGTTTCCTCCTGCTGACCATGCGATGTTCTTAGCCGTTCCTTCTGAAATCGCTGCAGTCTGCTTAGATGTTCCCTCTGCCACACGCTCAGGGCTGTCAGATGTTCCTTCCACCAGACACTCCATCTCGTCGGATGATCTGCCACGCGTTCAATCCTGTCAGGTGTCCCTCTCAGTCACACGTGTGGAGCGGGGCCCGAGAGGGTTCCCCACCACCAGTAAACATCAGGCAGCCGCAAGGTGATGGCCCGGTGGTCACGAAGCAGACTCTCTAGAGAAATCACTGATCACAGGCAGCACCAGGGAAAGGCAGTCCCCCTCCCCCACAGCAGTCACGAACCTCAGAAGCCTCCCCAGCACACCTCGGGAGTTGGGTGAATGGGCTCACACGTGCACCCTGAGAGGCAAACTGGTGGAAGGTTCACTGATCTGGGATGTTTTCCCCTGGGCACATTCATCTGCTTGTGGGAGGAACGCCTCAAGAGAGCATGAGAACAACTCCAGTAAGCACACGGCGCCTCCGCACCCCCATGAGATGGTGACAGGCCACTGTGCTAGTGAACAGCCCCCTCTTCCCCGCCGAGGGAAGCATCAGAGGACAGGCAGCGATGCTGCCGACGCGGGAGACCCTGAGTCCAAGGTCCAGTCCTGTACTCCACCTCTCAGGTCACCGCCCACCTGGGCCTCTTCCAAGCCTCCTTGACTTCCTTTGGCTCCTGCCACGATACCATTTCAGGAACTTTCGCCCCTGCTCTAATGCGTGCCTCGGTCTCTCACTCTACCGTGTGCCACTCGATGTCTTTCTTCTCAGGAGGCAGGAACCGAGGTTGCCACAGGCCCATACGCGTCTGTCGCCGCTCACGGGCCTGCTGCCAAACGTGGAATCTTGCCCAATGTGTCCTCTGCCAGACATGCCATCTCTTCAGATGCTTCTTTCGCAGGCCACGCGCTTGCAAGCTTCCTATGTTTTCCTCCCCACCGCTGTGCCATCGGCTGCAATTTTTCTGCTGTCCACCATGGCAACCTTCTCACGTGTTCCTTCTGCCACACATGCAATCTCCCTAAGCGTCTCTTCTCCCGAACACTCCATTCCGGGCCTTGTTCCCCTTGCCAAGCATCCCATCTTCTCAGGTGTTTCTCCTGCCACATATTTAATCGTCTTCACATGTTGCCTCCCCAGGCCTTGCATCCTTCCCAGCTCATCCTCCCTCCCACCCCGCAATCCTCTCAGATGCTACCACCGCCCACCGGGCAATCTCCACAGGCACTCCTTCCGCTGTCTGTACAACGTTCTTAGCTCTTCCTTCTGCCCAGTGTGCAATCTTCCCAGATGGGCTTTCTGCCACACATTCACGTCTGATCTGGCAGGTGTTTCTTCTGCCAAACCTTCATCCTTCTCGGATGCTCTTCTGCCACATGTGCAATCCTGTCAGACGTTCCTGTCACTCGAGGTAGCTGGTCTGATGTGAGCATGGAACCAGGGGGTCCCCCTACCACCACCAGGAATGTCAGATGACCATGAGGTGACGGTTGGGCGGTTCTTGAACCCTATCTATGGAGGATAACCGCTCACGGCCGGCCGGCGCCAAGGAAGGGCAGGCTCCCAACGGACGGAAGCACTGGAAGGTGGACATCAGCAGCCTCCCTGTAAGATCCCAGGAGTCGGGCACATGGGCTAATGCGGGACACCCTGCCAGCCACACCGGCAGGGCTGAGCAGCTCAGTCTCCTTCCTCTGAGATCAGTCGACAGGTAGGGGAAGAACGCCTCAAGTGAGCATGCCTAAGACTAGGAACCGCACTGTGCCTGCAACGCCCCCCGCCCACGGTCTGACAGGCCGTGGTGCCAGTCGACAGCCCCACCCGAAGGAAGGATCGGCAGAGAGGCAACAACGCCACCCCGGAAGCCTGCTAATGGAGGAGATCCAGAATCGAAGGTCAAACCCTGCACTCCATCCCTCAGGTTGCCCGCTTCGCCCTCTTCCAACTGTATCTCACTTCCTTTCCTTCCTGCTCCAAAGTGCTGAAGCAGCTTTCACTCCTGCTCTTCACTGTGCCTTCCTCTTACACCCCAGGACCAACTTCTCAGGGGGCTTTTGGGGCAGTCTGTACCGACACCTGCATAGGGCCTCGTTCTGTGGCCCTTTAGGGACCCCACCTTCATGCTCATTTCCAGTCAGTGCCCCTCTGGGAACAGGGAAGACTCTTCCTTCAATCCAGCTGTGTTTTTGCCCCAGGCCACAAGTGCTCCAGAGGTGACTACCTTATGTCAGGTTGGCATTGAACGTGGCCCTCTTGAGTCCGAGGGCAGCTCTTTTGGCGAGTGCAGCAAGGCTTTCCATGAGTCTTCCTCTCTCGCTTCCTCCCACTTCTGCCTGTAGCCTGGATTTCTCTACTCGTGGCCATGCCCTTCTCCAGATGCTTCCAAGCCTTCCAGGTCCACTCTGAAGGGAGAAATTTCCAGCCCCCTTGCGGCAGCTAGCTGAAAAACAGGCTCCTCGTCTACTGTGAGAACCTGGGAAGCGGGAATCAGACAGTGGAGATCATCATTGTCTTGCTGGAACGCTCTCAGGCACAGTCACTCTCATTTCACAGAGACAAGGACAGAGGCCGGACCAAGGCCACAGGCGCAACAGACCCATAGCACCCAGACCCAAACTGATCTCCGGCTAACACACGGCCATTAGAGCAGGGAGGAAGGCAAGGGCAGGGGTACATGGTAACACTGGTTCATTCTGGGACCCTGGGGATGAACGGGGCTCCCCTGACCCTGTTCACTCTAGCACCTCCTCTCTTCTGCAGTGGGTGATCATGACGAGATGGGACCAGGGTTGGCAGGGACACAGTAAGAACGAGACATCCCGGAGCCCTAAGGACGAATGGCGGATACCCTACTCAGGATCCTGGGAAAGTTCACAGAGCCTAAGCATGTTGGAGACGGTCCTTGTAGCCAACAGAAACGTTCCTGAAACGGGATCCGGGAAAGAAACGCCATGCGGTTTGAAAGGTTGTTAGGTCTGTTAAATGCTTCCGGAATCAATGCTTTACCGGAGGTCAGTCGGGACCATTTGCTTACACGTCATCTCTGACTGCTTCCATGCTACTACGGCAGGCTTCAGCAGACACGACAGAGACCACGGGGCCTACGAGTGCTTCCCACCTGGCCCTTTACAGGAAGAGCTGGCCAATCCCTGTGTCACACCGTGACCGGAAAGCCCTAATACTCACCGCTCATCTTCTGACTCCCCTGCTCAAAAGCTTCCCATGATTTTCTGCAGGAAACCTGGCTGGCTCCCTATCCACGGAATTTCTTTCTTCTTTCTCGCTGGAGAAATGCAAGGTTATCGTGATCTTTATCACTCCCTCAACCCACCCCAGCTCCCGAAGGAGGAATGATCATTCTAAGCTCATCACAGCAATCACATGGTTTTCCCCAGTGACCGGCTTAGCAGTCGGCATGTGCTGTAACCCAGCCCATACGATGTTACCAGAAGGTCACCGCGAGCTGCTGACTTGACTGCCTCTTCAAAAGACACCTGGGAAGAAAAGCAACCCCTCCAGCCTTCGGATACTGCCTTCAGAGAACACACCAACTGCAGCTGTTGCTACTCGGCCCGCCAGCAAAGCAGACATGAACTAAACACTGCCCACAGCACAGCTGGAAGGGAAAACATGAGCATGACATGACGATGCTGACACAATTCTGGTGCCTATGGCTTCAGCCGCTCTTACTTGGGTCATCTACTATTTACAGCCACGAGCATCCTGAGAATGTGGCCGTGGCCCACAGAATATATCCTCTACCCCTTCTGCTCTGGACTGCTCAAAAATCTACCCTCAGCTCGCCTTTTCTAGACATTCAAACCACACCCAACCATTCCCGTACCACACTCTTGCCACCAGCAACACTGAGCTGCTCTCGAACCCGACAGAGTTCACGCGAGCCTCTGACCTTTGGAACTTGCCATTCCTTCGGGCAAGCAGGCAATCTTTTCCCGATGCTCCTGCGAATCCTGCGACCTTCTCAGACGTTCTCTCCACCATACCTGTTCTCTCCGTTCCACCCTGCCAGATGTCTATTCGGACAAAACGTTCCGTCTTCTCGCATGTCTCCTCTGCCAAACCACGGATCCCGTCACATGGCTCTTCTGCAAAACATTCGATCTCGTCAGATGTGTCTTCCGCCAACCACTCCATCCTGCCAGATGTTTCTGTGTTACCGTGGGCGGCTGGTCAGACAGGAGCAGCGCGGGAGAGGGCCACGCCCACACCCCACCAGACACATCAGGCGACCAGGAGGCGACGGGTCAGGCTGCCATTAAACTACCTGTCTCAAATAATAAATGATTGCCGGGAGCCGGTGCCAGGGACGGGCGGTCCCCCAGACAGACAGAAACCCCGGAAGGTGGCGATTAGCAGCTCCCTGAGAAGATCTCAGGGGGCGCGTGACGGGGCTCATGCTTGCACACTCACAGGCAAACCGGCCGGGTTTTACTGTCCTACGACCCTCCCCAGGCAACATCCGACTGCCAAGGGAGGCACGCCTCATGTGAGCGCCCCTATGACTCCAGGAAACACGCCACGCCTGCGGTCCCTCCCAGGTGATGACAGGCCACTGCCCATGTGGATGGCCCACCCTGAGAAAAGGCTCAGGGGAGGAAGCAATGCAACCCCTGGCTCTTGGAAGCCTGCCAATGTGTGAGACCTCGCCTCAAAGGTCGAACAAAGCGTGCCCCCGACCTCTCCAGTTGCCCACATGGCCCTCTTCCAAGTATACCTTACTGCCTCGTCTTTCTGCTCTGGTACCATCTGGGAGACCTGCACTCCTGCGCTCAAAGAGGCCTCGGTCTCTTTCACTCCGCCTCACGCCCCTCAGTTAAACTCCCTCTGATGAGGTGAGAGCTCGGGTTGCTGCCTGCAGGCCCCTATGGATCTGCCACCGCTGACATCCCTACCGCCAAACGCTCCATCTTGGTGGATGTTTTCTCTCCCAGATGTTCCCTCTTTCCAGATGCTTCCTTTGCAAGCCACGCACTCTTCCTAGGCATTCCGTCTGCCCACCATGGAATCTGCTCAGAGGTTCCTTCTGCCCACCGTGCGACCTGCTAAAGGGTTTCTGCTGTCTACCATGTCATCTTCACACTTGGGCCTTCTGCCAAACGTGCAATCTACCTGAGGGTTCCCTCTGCCAAACAGCCAGTTGCGTCCACTTCTTCCCCTGACAAGCATTCAGTTTTGTCTGGCGCACCATGGGCCCAATACTTCCTCTACCCAGATGTCTCTTGGGCAGGCCTTGCAATCTCCCTAGGGCATCCAACTGCTGATCCCGCAGTCTTCTCACGGGTTCCCTTGCCCCCCAGCACCCCTGCAATCACCCTACCCTAAGGTTTCCTCCTGCTGACCATGCGATGTTCTTAGCCGTTCCTTCTGAAATCGCTGCAGTCTGCTTAGATGTTCCCTCTGCCACACGCTCAGGGCTGTCAGATGTTCCTTCCACCAGACACTCCATCTCGTCGGATGATCTGCCACGCGTTCAATCCTGTCAGGTGTCCCTCTCAGTCACACGTGTGGAGCGGGGCCCGAGAGGGTTCCCCACCACCAGTAAACATCAGGCAGCCGCAAGGTGATGGCCCGGTGGTCACGAAGCAGACTCTCTAGAGAAATCACTGATCACAGGCAGCACCAGGGAAAGGCAGTCCCCCTCCCCCACAGCAGTCACGAACCTCAGAAGCCTCCCCAGCACACCTCGGGAGTTGGGTGAATGGGCTCACACGTGCACCCTGAGAGGCAAACTGGTGGAAGGTTCACTGATCTGGGATGTTTTCCCCTGGGCACATTCATCTGCTTGTGGGAGGAACGCCTCAAGAGAGCATGAGAACAACTCCAGTAAGCACACGGCGCCTCCGCGCCCCCATGAGATGGTGACAGGCCACTGTGCTAGTGAACAGTCCCCTCTTCCCCGCCGAGGGAAGCATCAGAGGACAGGCAGCGATGCTGCCGACGCGGGAGACCCTGAGTCCAAGGTCCAGTCCTGTACTCCACCTCTCAGGTCACCGCCCACCTGGGCCTCTTCCAAGCCTCCTTGACTTCCTTTGGCTCCTGCCACGATACCATTTCAGGAACTTTCGCCCCTGCTCTAATGCGTGCCTCGGTCTCTCACTCTACCGTGTGCCACTCGATGTCTTTCTTCTCAGGAGGCAGGAACCGAGGTTGCCACAGGCCCATACGCGTCTGTCGCCGCTCACGGGCCTGCTGCCAAACGTGGAATCTTGCCCAATGTGTCCTCTGCCAGACATGCCATCTCTTCAGATGCTTCTTTCGCAGGCCACGCGCTTGCAAGCTTCCTATGTTTTCCTCCCCACCGCTGTGCCATCGGCTGCAATTTTTCTGCTGTCCACCATGGCAACCTTCTCACGTGTTCCTTCTGCCACACATGCAATCTCCCTAAGCGTCTCTTCTCCCGAACACTCCATTCCGGGCCTTGTTCCCCTTGCCAAGCATCCCATCTTCTCAGGTGTTTCTCCTGCCACATATTTAATCGTCTTCACATGTTGCCTCCCCAGGCCTTGCATCCTTCCCAGCTCATCCTCCCTCCCACCCCGCAATCCTCTCAGATGCTACCACCGCCCACCGGGCAATCTCCACAGGCACTCCTTCCGCTGTCTGTACAACGTTCTTAGCTCTTCCTTCTGCCCAGTGTGCAATCTTCCCAGATGGGCTTTCTGCCACACATTCACGTCTGATCTGGCAGGTGTTTCTTCTGCCAAACCTTCATCCTTCTCGGATGCTCTTCTGCCACATGTGCAATCCTGTCAGACGTTCCTGTCACTCGAGGTAGCTGGTCTGATGTGAGCATGGAACCAGGGGGTCCCCCTACCACCACCAGGAATGTCAGATGACCATGAGGTGACGGTTGGGCGGTTCTTGAACCCTATCTATGGAGGATAACCGCTCACGGCCGGCCGGCGCCAAGGAAGGGCAGGCTCCCAACGGACGGAAGCACTGGAAGGTGGACATCAGCAGCCTCCCTGTAAGATCCCAGGAGTCGGGCACATGGGCTAATGCGGGACACCCTGCCAGCCACACCGGCAGGGCTGAGCAGCTCAGTCTCCTTCCTCTGAGATCAGTCGACAGGTAGGGGAAGAACGCCTCAAGTGAGCATGCCTAAGACTAGGAACCGCACTGTGCCTGCAACGCCCCCCGCCCACGGTCTGACAGGCCGTGGTGCCAGTCGACAGCCCCACCCGAAGGAAGGATCGGCAGAGAGGCAACAACGCCACCCCGGAAGCCTGCTAATGGAGGAGATCCAGAATCGAAGGTCAAACCCTGCACTCCATCCCTCAGGTTGCCCGCTTCGCCCTCTTCCAACTGTATCTCACTTCCTTTCCTTCCTGCTCCAAAGTGCTGAAGCAGCTTTCACTCCTGCTCTTCACTGTGCCTTCCTCTTACACCCCAGGACCAACTTCTCAGGGGGCTTTTGGGGCAGTCTGTACCGACACCTGCATAGGGCCTCGTTCTGTGGCCCTTTAGGGACCCCACCTTCATGCTCATTTCCAGTCAGTGCCCCTCTGGGAACAGGGAAGACTCTTCCTTCAATCCAGCTGTGTTTTTGCCCCAGGCCACAAGTGCTCCAGAGGTGACTACCTTATGTCAGGTTGGCATTGAACGTGGCCCTCTTGAGTCCGAGGGCAGCTCTTTTGGCGAGTGCAGCAAGGCTTTCCATGAGTCTTCCTCTCTCGCTTCCTCCCACTTCTGCCTGTAGCCTGGATTTCTCTACTCGTGGCCATGCCCTTCTCCAGATGCTTCCAAGCCTTCCAGGTCCACTCTGAAGGGAGAAATTTCCAGCCCCCTTGCGGCAGCTAGCTGAAAAACAGGCTCCTCGTCTACTGTGAGAACCTGGGAAGCGGGAATCAGACAGTGGAGATCATCATTGTCTTGCTGGAACGCTCTCAGGCACAGTCACTCTCATTTCACAGAGACAAGGACAGAGGCCGGACCAAGGCCACAGGCGCAACAGACCCATAGCACCCAGACCCAAACTGATCTCCGGCTAACACACGGCCATTAGAGCAGGGAGGAAGGCAAGGGCAGGGGTACATGGTAACACTGGTTCATTCTGGGACCCTGGGGATGAACGGGGCTCCCCTGACCCTGTTCACTCTAGCACCTCCTCTCTTCTGCAGTGGGTGATCATGACGAGATGGGACCAGGGTTGGCAGGGACACAGTAAGAACGAGACATCCCGGAGCCCTAAGGACGAATGGCGGATACCCTACTCAGGATCCTGGGAAAGTTCACAGAGCCTAAGCATGTTGGAGACGGTCCTTGTAGCCAACAGAAACGTTCCTGAAACGGGATCCGGGAAAGAAACGCCATGCGGTTTGAAAGGTTGTTAGGTCTGTTAAATGCTTCCGGAATCAATGCTTTACCGGAGGTCAGTCGGGACCATTTGCTTACACGTCATCTCTGACTGCTTCCATGCTACTACGGCAGGCTTCAGCAGACACGACAGAGACCACGGGGCCTACGAGTGCTTCCCACCTGGCCCTTTACAGGAAGAGCTGGCCAATCCCTGTGTCACACCGTGACCGGAAAGCCCTAATACTCACCGCTCATCTTCTGACTCCCCTGCTCAAAAGCTTCCCATGATTTTCTGCAGGAAACCTGGCTGGCTCCCTATCCACGGAATTTCTTTCTTCTTTCTCGCTGGAGAAATGCAAGGTTATCGTGATCTTTATCACTCCCTCAACCCACCCCAGCTCCCGAAGGAGGAATGATCATTCTAAGCTCATCACAGCAATCACATGGTTTTCCCCAGTGACCGGCTTAGCAGTCGGCATGTGCTGTAACCCAGCCCATACGATGTTACCAGAAGGTCACCGCGAGCTGCTGACTTGACTGCCTCTTCAAAAGACACCTGGGAAGAAAAGCAACCCCTCCAGCCTTCGGATACTGCCTTCAGAGAACACACCAACTGCAGCTGTTGCTACTCGGCCCGCCAGCAAAGCAGACATGAACTAAACACTGCCCACAGCACAGCTGGAAGGGAAAACATGAGCATGACATGACGATGCTGACACAATTCTGGTGCCTATGGCTTCAGCCGCTCTTACTTGGGTCATCTACTATTTACAGCCACGAGCATCCTGAGAATGTGGCCGTGGCCCACAGAATATATCCTCTACCCCTTCTGCTCTGGACTGCTCAAAAATCTACCCTCAGCTCGCCTTTTCTAGACATTCAAACCACACCCAACCATTCCCGTACCACACTCTTGCCACCAGCAACACTGAGCTGCTCTCGAACCCGACAGAGTTCACGCGAGCCTCTGACCTTTGGAACTTGCCATTCCTTCGGGCAAGCAGGCAATCTTTTCCCGATGCTCCTGCGAATCCTGCGACCTTCTCAGACGTTCTCTCCACCATACCTGTTCTCTCCGTTCCACCCTGCCAGATGTCTATTCGGACAAAACGTTCCGTCTTCTCGCATGTCTCCTCTGCCAAACCACGGATCCCGTCACATGGCTCTTCTGCAAAACATTCGATCTCGTCAGATGTGTCTTCCGCCAACCACTCCATCCTGCCAGATGTTTCTGTGTTACCGTGGGCGGCTGGTCAGACAGGAGCAGCGCGGGAGAGGGCCACGCCCACACCCCACCAGACACATCAGGCGACCAGGAGGCGACGGGTCAGGCTGCCATTAAACTACCTGTCTCAAATAATAAATGATTGCCGGGAGCCGGTGCCAGGGACGGGCGGTCCCCCAGACAGACAGAAACCCCGGAAGGTGGCGATTAGCAGCTCCCTGAGAAGATCTCAGGGGGCGCGTGACGGGGCTCATGCTTGCACACTCACAGGCAAACCGGCCGGGTTTTACTGTCCTACGACCCTCCCCAGGCAACATCCGACTGCCAAGGGAGGCACGCCTCATGTGAGCGCCCCTATGACTCCAGGAAACACGCCACGCCTGCGGTCCCTCCCAGGTGATGACAGGCCACTGCCCATGTGGATGGCCCACCCTGAGAAAAGGCTCAGGGGAGGAAGCAATGCAACCCCTGGCTCTTGGAAGCCTGCCAATGTGTGAGACCTCGCCTCAAAGGTCGAACAAAGCGTGCCCCCGACCTCTCCAGTTGCCCACATGGCCCTCTTCCAAGTATACCTTACTGCCTCGTCTTTCTGCTCTGGTACCATCTGGGAGACCTGCACTCCTGCGCTCAAAGAGGCCTCGGTCTCTTTCACTCCGCCTCACGCCCCTCAGTTAAACTCCCTCTGATGAGGTGAGAGCTCGGGTTGCTGCCTGCAGGCCCCTATGGATCTGCCACCGCTGACATCCCTACCGCCAAACGCTCCATCTTGGTGGATGTTTTCTCTCCCAGATGTTCCCTCTTTCCAGATGCTTCCTTTGCAAGCCACGCACTCTTCCTAGGCATTCCGTCTGCCCACCATGGAATCTGCTCAGAGGTTCCTTCTGCCCACCGTGCGACCTGCTAAAGGGTTTCTGCTGTCTACCATGTCATCTTCACACTTGGGCCTTCTGCCAAACGTGCAATCTACCTGAGGGTTCCCTCTGCCAAACAGCCAGTTGCGTCCACTTCTTCCCCTGACAAGCATTCAGTTTTGTCTGGCGCACCATGGGCCCAATACTTCCTCTACCCAGATGTCTCTTGGGCAGGCCTTGCAATCTCCCTAGGGCATCCAACTGCTGATCCCGCAGTCTTCTCACGGGTTCCCTTGCCCCCCAGCACCCCTGCAATCACCCTACCCTAAGGTTTCCTCCTGCTGACCATGCGATGTTCTTAGCCGTTCCTTCTGAAATCGCTGCAGTCTGCTTAGATGTTCCCTCTGCCACACGCTCAGGGCTGTCAGATGTTCCTTCCACCAGACACTCCATCTCGTCGGATGATCTGCCACGCGTTCAATCCTGTCAGGTGTCCCTCTCAGTCACACGTGTGGAGCGGGGCCCGAGAGGGTTCCCCACCACCAGTAAACATCAGGCAGCCGCAAGGTGATGGCCCGGTGGTCACGAAGCAGACTCTCTAGAGAAATCACTGATCACAGGCAGCACCAGGGAAAGGCAGTCCCCCTCCCCCACAGCAGTCACGAACCTCAGAAGCCTCCCCAGCACACCTCGGGAGTTGGGTGAATGGGCTCACACGTGCACCCTGAGAGGCAAACTGGTGGAAGGTTCACTGATCTGGGATGTTTTCCCCTGGGCACATTCATCTGCTTGTGGGAGGAACGCCTCAAGAGAGCATGAGAACAACTCCAGTAAGCACACGGCGCCTCCGCGCCCCCATGAGATGGTGACAGGCCACTGTGCTAGTGAACAGTCCCCTCTTCCCCGCCGAGGGAAGCATCAGAGGACAGGCAGCGATGCTGCCGACGCGGGAGACCCTGAGTCCAAGGTCCAGTCCTGTACTCCACCTCTCAGGTCACCGCCCACCTGGGCCTCTTCCAAGCCTCCTTGACTTCCTTTGGCTCCTGCCACGATACCATTTCAGGAACTTTCGCCCCTGCTCTAATGCGTGCCTCGGTCTCTCACTCTACCGTGTGCCACTCGATGTCTTTCTTCTCAGGAGGCAGGAACCGAGGTTGCCACAGGCCCATACGCGTCTGTCGCCGCTCACGGGCCTGCTGCCAAACGTGGAATCTTGCCCAATGTGTCCTCTGCCAGACATGCCATCTCTTCAGATGCTTCTTTCGCAGGCCACGCGCTTGCAAGCTTCCTATGTTTTCCTCCCCACCGCTGTGCCATCGGCTGCAATTTTTCTGCTGTCCACCATGGCAACCTTCTCACGTGTTCCTTCTGCCACACATGCAATCTCCCTAAGCGTCTCTTCTCCCGAACACTCCATTCCGGGCCTTGTTCCCCTTGCCAAGCATCCCATCTTCTCAGGTGTTTCTCCTGCCACATATTTAATCGTCTTCACATGTTGCCTCCCCAGGCCTTGCATCCTTCCCAGCTCATCCTCCCTCCCACCCCGCAATCCTCTCAGATGCTACCACCGCCCACCGGGCAATCTCCACAGGCACTCCTTCCGCTGTCTGTACAACGTTCTTAGCTCTTCCTTCTGCCCAGTGTGCAATCTTCCCAGATGGGCTTTCTGCCACACATTCACGTCTGATCTGGCAGGTGTTTCTTCTGCCAAACCTTCATCCTTCTCGGATGCTCTTCTGCCACATGTGCAATCCTGTCAGACGTTCCTGTCACTCGAGGTAGCTGGTCTGATGTGAGCATGGAACCAGGGGGTCCCCCTACCACCACCAGGAATGTCAGATGACCATGAGGTGACGGTTGGGCGGTTCTTGAACCCTATCTATGGAGGATAACCGCTCACGGCCGGCCGGCGCCAAGGAAGGGCAGGCTCCCAACGGACGGAAGCACTGGAAGGTGGACATCAGCAGCCTCCCTGTAAGATCCCAGGAGTCGGGCACATGGGCTAATGCGGGACACCCTGCCAGCCACACCGGCAGGGCTGAGCAGCTCAGTCTCCTTCCTCTGAGATCAGTCGACAGGTAGGGGAAGAACGCCTCAAGTGAGCATGCCTAAGACTAGGAACCGCACTGTGCCTGCAACGCCCCCCGCCCACGGTCTGACAGGCCGTGGTGCCAGTCGACAGCCCCACCCGAAGGAAGGATCGGCAGAGAGGCAACAACGCCACCCCGGAAGCCTGCTAATGGAGGAGATCCAGAATCGAAGGTCAAACCCTGCACTCCATCCCTCAGGTTGCCCGCTTCGCCCTCTTCCAACTGTATCTCACTTCCTTTCCTTCCTGCTCCAAAGTGCTGAAGCAGCTTTCACTCCTGCTCTTCACTGTGCCTTCCTCTTACACCCCAGGACCAACTTCTCAGGGGGCTTTTGGGGCAGTCTGTACCGACACCTGCATAGGGCCTCGTTCTGTGGCCCTTTAGGGACCCCACCTTCATGCTCATTTCCAGTCAGTGCCCCTCTGGGAACAGGGAAGACTCTTCCTTCAATCCAGCTGTGTTTTTGCCCCAGGCCACAAGTGCTCCAGAGGTGACTACCTTATGTCAGGTTGACATTGAACGTGGCCCTCTTGAGTCCGAGGGCAGCTCTTTTGGCGAGTGCAGCAAGGCTTTCCATGAGTCTTCCTCTCTCGCTTCCTCCCACTTCTGCCTGTAGCCTGGATTTCTCTACTCGTGGCCATGCCCTTCTCCAGATGCTTCCAAGCCTTCCAGGTCCACTCTGAAGGGAGAAATTTCCAGCCCCCTTGTGGCAGCTAGCTGAAAAACAGGCTCCTCGTCTACTGTGAGAACCTGGGAAGCGGGAATCAGACAGTGGAGATCATCATTGTCTTGCTGGAACGCTCTCAGGCACAGTCACTCTCATTTCACAGAGACAAGGACAGAGGCCGGACCAAGGCCACAGGCGCAACAGACCCATAGCACCCAGACCCAAACTGATCTCCGGCTAACACACGGCCATTAGAGCAGGGAGGAAGGCAAGGGCAGGGGTACATGGTAACACTGGTTCATTCTGGGACCCTGGGGATGAACGGGGCTCCCCTGACCCTGTTCACTCTAGCACCTCCTCTCTTCTGCAGTGGGTGATCATGACGAGATGGGACCAGGGTTGGCAGGGACACAGTAAGAACGAGACATCCCGGAGCCCTAAGGACGAATGGCGGATACCCTACTCAGGATCCTGGGAAAGTTCACAGAGCCTAAGCATGTTGGAGACGGTCCTTGTAGCCAACAGAAACGTTCCTGAAACGGGATCCGGGAAAGAAACGCCATGCGGTTTGAAAGGTTGTTAGGTCTGTTAAATGCTTCCGGAATCAATGCTTTACCGGAGGTCAGTCGGGACCATTTGCTTACACGTCATCTCTGACTGCTTCCACGCTACTACGGCAGGCTTCAGCAGACACGACAGAGACCACGGGGCCTACGAGTGCTTCCCACCTGGCCCTTTACAGGAAGAGCTGGCCAATCCCTGTGTCACACCGTGACCGGAAAGCCCTAATACTCACCGCTCATCTTCTGACTCCCCTGCTCAAAAGCTTCCCATGATTTTCTGCAGGAAACCTGGCTGGCTCCCTATCCACGGAATTTCTTTCTTCTTTCTCGCTGGAGAAATGCAAGGTTATCGTGATCTTTATCACTCCCTCAACCCACCCCAGCTCCCGAAGGAGGAATGATCATTCTAAGCTCATCACAGCAATCACATGGTTTTCCCCAGTGACCGGCTTAGCAGTCGGCATGTGCTGTAACCCAGCCCATACGATGTTACCAGAAGTTCACCGCGAGCTGCTGACTTGACTGCCTCTTCAAAAGACACCTGGGAAGAAAAGCAACCCCTCCAGCCTTCGGATACTGCCTTCAGAGAACACACCAACTGCAGCTGTTGCTACTCGGCCCGCCAGCAAAGCAGACATGAACTAAACACTGCCCACAGCACAGCTGGAAGGGAAAACATGAGCATGACACGACGATGCTGACACAATTCTGGTGCCTATGGCTTCAGCCGCTCTTACTTGGGTCATCTACTATTTACAGCCACGAGCATCCTGAGAATGTGGCCGTGGCCCACAGAATATATCCTCTACCCCTTCTGCTCTGGACCGCTCAAAAATCTACCCTCAGCTCGCCTTTTCTAGACATTCAAACCACACCCAACCATTCCCGTACCACACTCTTGCCACCAGCAACACTGAGCTGCTCTCGAACCCGACAGAGTTCACGCGAGCCTCTGACCTTTGGAACTTGCCATTCCTTCGGGCAAGCAGGCAATCTTTTCCCGATGCTCCTGCGAATCCTGCGACCTTCTCAGACGTTCTCTCCACCATACCTGTTCTCTCCGTTCCACCCTGCCAGATGTCTATTCGGACAAAACGTTCCGTCTTCTCGCATGTCTCCTCTGCCAAACCACGGATCCCGTCACATGGCTCTTCTGCAAAACATTCGATCTCGTCAGATGTGTCTTCCGCCAACCACTCCATCCTGCCAGATGTTTCTGTGTTACCGTGGGCGGCTGGTCAGACAGGAGCAGCGCGGGAGAGGGCCACGCCCACACCCCACCAGACACATCAGGCGACCAGGAGGCGACGGGTCAGGCTGCCATTAAACTACCTGTCTCAAATAATAAATGATTGCCGGGAGCCGGTGCCAGGGACGGGCGGTCCCCCAGACAGACAGAAACCCCGGAAGGTGGCGATTAGCAGCTCCCTGAGAAGATCTCAGGGGGCGCGTGACGGGGCTCATGCTTGCACACTCACAGGCAAACCGGCCGGGTTTTACTGTCCTACGACCCTCCCCAGGCAACATCCGACTGCCAAGGGAGGCACGCCTCATGTGAGCGCCCCTATGACTCCAGGAAACACGCCACGCCTGCGGTCCCTCCCAGGTGATGACAGGCCACTGCCCATGTGGATGGCCCACCCTGAGAAAAGGCTCAGGGGAGGAAGCAATGCAACCCCTGGCTCTTGGAAGCCTGCCAATGTGTGAGACCTCGCCTCAAAGGTCGAACAAAGCGTGCCCCCGACCTCTCCAGTTGCCCACATGGCCCTCTTCCAAGTATACCTTACTGCCTCGTCTTTCTGCTCTGGTATCATCTGGGAGACCTGCACTCCTGCGCTCAAACAGGCCTCGGTCTCTTTCACTCCGCCTCACGCCCCTCAGTTAAACTCCGTCTGATGAGGTGAGAGCTCGGGTTGCTGCCTGCAGGCCCCTATGGATCTGCCACCGCTGACATCCCTACCGCCAAACGCTCCATCTTGGTGGATGTTTTCTCTCCCAGATGTTCCCTCTTTCCAGATGCTTCCTTTGCAAGCCACGCACTCTTCCTAGGCATTCCGTCTGCCCACCATGGAATCTGCTCAGAGGTTCCTTCTGCCCACCGTGCGACCTGCTAAAGGGTTTCTGCTGTCTACCATGTCATCTTCACACTTGGGCCTTCTGCCAAACGTGCAATCTACCTGAGGGTTCCCTCTGCCAAACAGCCAGTTGCGTCCACTTCTTCCCCTGACAAGCATTCAGTTTTGTCTGGCGCACCATGGGCCCAATACTTCCTCTACCCAGATGTCTCTTGGGCAGGCCTTGCAATCTCCCTAGGGCATCCAACTGCTGATCCCGCAGTCTTCTCACGGGTTCCCTTGCCCCCCAGCACCCCTGCAATCACCCTACCCTAAGGTTTCCTCCTGCTGACCATGCGATGTTCTTAGCCGTTCCTTCTGAAATCGCTGCAGTCTGCTTAGATGTTCCCTCTGCCACACGCTCAGGGCTGTCAGATGTTCCTTCCACCAGACACTCCATCTCGTCGGATGATCTGCCACGCGTTCAATCCTGTCAGGTGTCCCTCTCAGTCACACGTGTGGAGCGGGGCCCGAGAGGGTTCCCCACCACCAGTAAACATCAGGCAGCCGCAAGGTGATGGCCCGGTGGTCACGAAGCAGACTCTCTAGAGAAATCACTGATCACAGGCAGCACCAGGGAAAGGCAGTCCCCCTCCCCCACAGCAGTCACGAACCTCAGAAGCCTCCCCAGCACACCTCGGGAGTTGGGTGAATGGGCTCACACGTGCACCCTGAGAGGCAAACTGGTGGAAGGTTCACTGATCTGGGATGTTTTCCCCTGGGCACATTCATCTGCTTGTGGGAGGAACGCCTCAAGAGAGCATGAGAACAACTCCAGTAAGCACACGGCGCCTCCGCGCCCCCATGAGATGGTGACAGGCCACTGTGCTAGTGAACAGCCCCCTCTTCCCCGCCGAGGGAAGCATCAGAGGACAGGCAGCGATGCTGCCGACGCGGGAGACCCTGAGTCCAAGGTCCAGTCCTGTACTCCACCTCTCAGGTCACCGCCCACCTGGGCCTCTTCCAAGCCTCCTTGACTTCCTTTGGCTCCTGCCACGATACCATTTCAGGAACTTTCGCCCCTGCTCTAATGCGTGCCTCGGTCTCTCACTCTACCGTGTGCCACTCGATGTCTTTCTTCTCAGGAGGCAGGAACCGAGGTTGCCACAGGCCCATACGCGTCTGTCGCCGCTCACGGGCCTGCTGCCAAACGTGGAATCTTGCCCAATGTGTCCTCTGCCAGACATGCCATCTCTTCAGATGCTTCTTTCGCAGGCCACGCGCTTGCAAGCTTCCTATGTTTTCCTCCCCACCGCTGTGCCATCGGCTGCAATTTTTCTGCTGTCCACCATGGCAACCTTCTCACGTGTTCCTTCTGCCACACATGCAATCTCCCTACCGTGCGACCTGCTAAAGGCTTTCTGCTGTCTTCCATGTCATCTTCACACTTGGGCCTTCTGCCCAACGTGCAATCTACCTGAGTGTTCCTTCTGCCAAACAGCCAACTGCGTCCATTCCTTCCCCTGACAAGTGCTCAGTATTATCCGGCGCACCGTGGGCCCAATACTTCCTCTTCCCAGATGTCTCTCGGGCAGGCCTTGCAATCTGCCTAGGGTGTCCAACTGCCGATCCCTCAGTCTTCTCATGGGTTCCCTTGCCCCACCATACCCCTGCAATCTTCCTACCCTAAGGTTTCCTCCTGCTGACCATGTGATGTTCTTAGCCATTCCTTCCTAAAACACTGCAATCTGCTTAGATGTTCCCTCTGCCACATGCTCAGGGCTGTCAGACGTTCCTTTCCCAGACACTCCATCTCGTTTGATGATCTTCTGGCACACGTTCAATCCTGTCAGGTGTCCCTCTCAGTCACACGTGCAGAGTGGGGCCCGAGAGGGTTCCCCACCACCAGAAAACATCAGGTGGCTGCGAGGTGATGCTCAGGTGTTCGTGAAGCAGACTCTCTAGAGATATCACTGGTCGCACGCGGCGCCAGGGAAAGGCAGCCCCGCCACCCCCCACAGCTATCAGGAACGTCGGAAGCCTCTCCGGCAGACCTCGAGTGTCAGGTGAGTGGGCTCTCGTACGCACCCTGAGAGGCAAACTGGTGGGAGGTTCACTGCTTTACGACCTTTACCTCGGGCACATTCGTCTGCTTACAGGAGGAACGCCTCAAGCGACCATGCGAACAACTCCAGTGAGCACACGGCGCCTGCGCTGCCACCCGCACCCCCCCAAAAGGTGCTGACAGGCCACTGCGCCAGTGCACAGCACTGCCCTTCCCCCACCAAGGGAAGCATCAGGGGACTGGCAGCGATGCCGCCAGTGGGGGAGACCCCAAGTCCACAGTCCAGCCCTGCACTCCACCTCTCAGGTCGCTGCCCACCTGGGCCTCTTCCAAGCCTCCTTGACTTCCTTTGGCTCCTGCCACCATACCATTTCAGGAACTTTTGCCTCTGCTCTTATGCGTGCCTCGGTCTCTCCCTCTGCCTTGTGCCCCTCAGTTGATGACTTTCTTCTCAGGAGGCAGGAACCGAGACTGTCGCAGGCCCATACGCATCTGCCTCCGCTCATGGGCCCACTGCCAAACGTGGAATCTTGCCCGATGTGTCCTCTCTCAGACATGCCATGGCTTCAGATGCTTCTTTCGCAAGCCATGCACTTCCATGCTTCCTACGTTTTCCTCCCCACTGCCGTGCCATCGGCTGCAACGTTTCTGCTGTCCGCCATTCACCCTTCTCATATGTACCTTTGGCCACACGTGCAATCTACCTAAGCATCCCTTCTCCCAAACACTCCACTCTGTCCCTTGTTTCCCCTGGCAAGCATCCCATCTTCTCAGGTATTTCTCCTGCCACATATTTAATCGTCTTCATATGTTACCTTCCCAGGCCCTGCATCCTTCCCAGCTCATCCTCCCGCCCACCCCGCAATCCTCTCAGATGCTACCACCACCCCACCGGGCAATCTCCCAAGGCGCTCCTTCTGCTGTCCGTCCAACGTTCTCAGGTCTTCCTTCTTCCCAGTGTGCAATCTTCCTGGATGGGCCTTCTGCCACACGTTCACATCTGATCTGGCAGGTGTTTCTTCTGCCAAACATGCAATCCTGTCAGACGTTCCTGTCACTCACGGTAGCTGGTCTGACGTGAGCATGGTACCAGGGGGTCTCCCTACCTCCATCAGGAATGTCAGACCACCATGAGGTGACTGTCACGTGGTTCTTGAACCCTATCTATGGAGGAAAACCGCTCACAGCCAGCCAGTGCCAAGGAAGGGCAGGCTCCCAATGGACGGAAGCGCAGGAAAGTGGACATCAGCAGCCTCCCTCTGAGATCCCAGGAGTCAGGCATGTGGGCTCACACAGGACCCCCTGACAGCCACACTGGCGGGGTTCAGCAGCTCTGTCTCCTTCCTCTGAGAACACTCGACAGGTAGAGGATGTACACCTCAAGTGAGCACACCTAAGCCTCCAGGTATGGCATTGCGGCTGTCACACCCCCCGCCCACAAGCTGACAGGCCGCGATGCCAGTCAACAGCCCCACCCAAGGGAAGGATCAGTGGAGAGGCAACAATGCCACCCCCAAAACCTACCAATGGAGGAGACCCCAAGTCGAAGGTCAAACCCTGCACTCTGTCCCTTAGGTTGCCCGCTTCGCCCTCTTCCAACTGTATCTTGCTTGCTTTCCTTCCTGCTCCAAAGTGCTGAAGCAGCTTTCACTCCTGCTCTTCACCCTGCCTTCCTCTTACGCCCCAGGGCCAACTTCTTAGGGGGCTTTTGGGGCAGTCTGTCCCACCACCTGCATAGGGCCTCATTCTGTGGCTCTTTGGGACCCCATCTACTTGCTCATTTCCAGTCAGCACCCCTCTGGGAAGAGCAAAGATTCTTCCTTCACGCCAGGCGCGTTTTCACCCCAAGCCACAAGTGCTCCAGAGGTTACTACCTTTCTTCAGGTAGGCATTAAACATGGCCCTCTCGAGTGCGAGGGCAGCTCTTTTGGCGAGCGCAACAAGGCTTTCCATGAGTCTTCCTCTCTCGCTTCCTCCTGCTTCAGTCTGTAGCCTGTTTCTCTACTCCCAGCCGCACCCTTCTCCAGATGCTTTCAGACCTTCTAGGTCCTATCTGAAGGGAGAAATTTCCAGCTCCCTTGCAGCAGCTAGCTGAAAAACAGGCTCCTCGTCTAGTGTGAGAATCTAGGAAACAGGAATCAGACAGCAGAGATCATCATTGTCTTGCTGGAATGCTCTCAGCCACAGTCACTCTCATGTCACAGACACAAGGACAGAGACCGGACCAAGGCCGCAGGCGCAACAGATCCATAGCACCGAGACAAAGGCTGATCCCAGGCTAACACATGACCATTAGAGCAGGGATGTAGGCAAGGCCAGGGGTACATGGTAACACCGGTTCATTCCGGGCTCCCAGGGATGAACAGGCCTCCCCCGATCCCATTCACTCCAGCACCTCCTCTCTTCTCCAGTGGGTGATCATGACAAGATGGGAATGGGGTTAGCGGGGACACAGTAAGGCCAATGCTTCCCGGAGCCCTAAGGCCAAATTGGGGACGCTGTATTCAGGATCCTAGGAAAGTCAAGAGAGCCCAAGCACGTTGGAGAAGGTCCTTGTAAGCTGCCAGAAACATTCTCAAAAGGGGACCCGGGAAACAAATGCCATGCGGTTTGAAAGGTTGTTAGGTCTGTTAAACACTTCCACAACGGACGCTTTACCAGAGGCCGGTCGGGAGTATTTGCTTACGTGTCATCTCTGACTGCTTTCACGCTGCTACGGCGTGAACGGAGACCATGATACCTATGAGTGTTTTCCACCTGGCCCTTTACAGGAAGAGCTAGCCAATCCCTGCATCGTGCCATGACCAGAATGCCCTAATACTGACTGCTCATCTTCTGACTCCCCTGCTCAAAAGCTTCCCATGAATCTCTGCAGGAAACCTGGTTGGCTCCCTATCCACAGCCATTGTTTCTTCTCACTGGAGAAACACAATTTTATTTGGATCTTTATCATTTCCCCAGATCCAAAAGTAGAAATAATCATTCTAAGCTCATCATAGGAATCATCACGTATTCACAAACCTCATTCGTTAGAACATGCCAGTAAAGGAAAAATATAACTCACTTACTTAAATTGTTATTTATTCAAAAATATTTTTTAAAATTGTAGGCAACAAAATTCAATAAAGGATTGTTTTTAAGACAATAGGTTTTGAGATTATAAACTATCTACAAACTAAATTCTTAACTGTGAATACTAAACTATTCAAAGAAAAAATTTTATATAAATACAAACATATTTACACACACATGCACAGCCACACAGACATACCATTGACACACTAAATTTCTTTTTTGTGATCGAAACTCAATAATCTTATGCTAGCACCACCAAGAGTAGCTTAGTATTAAAAGTCTTACCTGGATTGCTGTTTTGAGGACTTTTAGGTATCTTTATTTCAGATTCCAAACATTCTTGGTAAATGCTATGTATCAAATATGTGATAAATTGAGGTATTATTTCAACACTGATATTAAAAATTTACCCAATGTGTTAAATTCCTAGGGTATTTCAGAGTGTCGGGGTAATATCTGAAATCTACTTATTCCACAGACTTCTAACTTATTAGCTCTATGCACTTATTAAGCTTCAAATTGAAGAAAGCAAAGTGAAATACTCATGAATTCAGGGCAGTATAGCTCAGGAAATTAACTAGAGTTAGCTTGACGTAATGGAAAATGTCCTGATCTCCTAAGTTTGAGTTCTGTAACCAACACCTATTTGTTCTTCAGCAAGTTGCTTCTCTTAGGCTCAATGTCTTCTTCTAATATGAGGTTTTTAGTGCCTTATTTCAGTAGGTTATTACAAAGTTTTAACAACATAACATTTGAAAAACTGTTCAAAGAAACAGTAATGGAATACTTAATCTTGAAGCTTATAGCTGAAACTATTTTAAAATCCCAAATAAAACCCAATGTGTTGGCCAGATGCAGTGACTCGCCTGTGATACCAGCACTTTGGGAGGCTGAGACAGGAGGATCACTTGGGCTCAATACTTCAAGACCAGCCTGCGCAACAGGGAGACCCTGTAACTACAAAAAATAAAAGATAAATTATAAAAAACCAATGTGTGTTTCTTCATAGGATCTAATATTCAAATGTTGTAGTTTTCAGAAACTTATTAAGTCCTACTTTTGGTTATTAGATGTTCCATTTTTTTGTGGCTTGTGATTCAGGGCATCTAGGCTATTTGATAATTTGTAATAAAATTTATTTATAAATTAATTCATCAAATTAGATAACATGATTATCCCCTATTTCTGAGCTCATCAATCACACCCAGGGCAGAAAACTAATAGATTTCAAGACCTGGCTTGGACTCCTACTTTTCTTTACTGATCTCCTCGAACTCTGAACCAACAAATCTTTGTTACAGTGATGCTTAAACCCCAGTTATTTTAAAATATTTTCACTCAGGGAGCTTGAGCTTCCAAATATGAAAAACTGACCCCTACATATGACAATGTTAAAACAAATGTGTGGGGAAAAGCAAGAGAGATCAGATTGTTACTGTGTCTGTGTAGAAAGAAGTAGACATAGGAGACTCCATTTTGTTATGTACTAAGAAAAATTCTTCTGCCTTGAGATTCTGTGACCTCACCCCCAACCTCGTGCTCTCTGAAACATGTGCTGTGTCAAACTCAGAGTTAAATGGATTAAGGGCGGTGCAAGATGTGCTTTGTTAAACAGATGCTTGAAGGCAGCATGCTCCTTAAGAGTCATCACCACTCCTTAATCTCAAGTACTCAGGGACACAAAAACTGCAGAAGGCCGCAGGGACCTCTGCCTAGGAAAGCCAGGTATTGTCCAAGGTTTCTCCCCATGTGATAGTCTGAAATATGGCCTCGTGGGAAAGGAAAGACCTGACCTGTCCCTCAGCCCGACACCCATAAAGGGTCTGTGCTGAGGAGGATTAGTAAAAGAGGAAGGAATGCCTCTTGCAGTTGAGACAAGAGGAAGGCATCTGTCTCCTGCCTGTCCTTGGGCAATGGAATGTCTCGGTATAAAACCTGATTGTATGCTCCATCTACTGAGATAGAGAAAAACCGCCTTAGGGCTGGAAGTAGGACCTGCAGGCAGCAATACTGCTTTGTAAAGCATTGAGATGTTTATGTGTATGCATATCTAAAAGCACAGCACTTAATCCTTTACATTGTCTATGATGCAAAGACCTTTGTTCACGTGTTTGTCTGCTGACCCTCTCCCCACAATTGTCTTGTGACCCTGACACATCCCCCTCTTCGAGAAACACCCACAGATGATCAATAAATACTAAGGGAACTCAGAGGCTGGCGGGATCCTCCATATGCTGAACGCTGGTTCCCCGGGTCCCCTTATTTCTTTCTCTATACTTTGTCTCTGTGTCTTTTTCTTTTCCAAATCTCTCGTCCCACCTTACAAGAAACACCCACAGCTGTGGAAGGGCAACCCACCCCTACACAAATGGATTTCAAATATTTTGAAAATAACATTGGTTGATCTCTACCTTGTTTTTCACTTCAATGTCTGGGTTGTGTGAAAGCAGTTTTGCTACCTTTTGTATATTCTTACTATAGACAGCGTCGTGGAGAGCAGTGTTGCAACAGACATCTACAACATTTGGATCAGCACCAAAGTCGAGCAGAATAGTTGCAAAAACATCTTATTGGCATTGAATAACCTATCAGTATTAGTCCAAGAAATTTTAAGTTCTAAACAATCAATATACACATTCCACGTTTCACAAACTGTGGATATTTCGGTGAGATAAATTCATTTTTATTCTGTGTATTTCAGCCAAATTCATCTCATGCTGAAAAAATTGGCCACTATGTACCTTCATCAGAGGTGCCCTGTTTTCACTATCACAGATGTTAAGCTGGCACTTTCTATGTGCCAGAAAAGTTACCACTTCTGGAACATCATTGGCACAGGCCAAATGTAGAACAGTCCTACAAGACTGAAAGAATTTTCCAGGGAAGTTTAGCCTACTCTCTCAAGACATACATACATGATTCATGTGATTGTAAACATTAAATAGCATGCCCTTCCTCTGCCTTCGAAACATCTAATTTGCCCCTGAAGAAAGTGCAACACTTATTAGCTCGTATTAGTCACTACATTAATAAAAGAGTAGCCCATTTGACTAGAAAGTTTTTGGCTTTTGGATTCAGTTCAACTTGAGCTTGAATACTACATTAAAGTCTTTCATTTATGAGCTATCACTTAACCTTTCTGTGCCTCAATTTTCTCATCAATAACGTGGAGATGAATATAGTAGTTATCTCACAGGACATCACTGTGATACCTAATTGGGAATCTATGCCAAGTATTTGTAACAGTTCCTGGCACAAATAATGGCTCAATAATTGTTAGATATTATAATTATTACTACTACTTAATGAAGACAACATTTTAATTAAGTAAAATGGTACAATTATACCTCCTTTGAGGTATGTTTCAAAGGTTAGAGATAACACCGTATTTCAATGATTCTAAGGTGCACAGTTTCTCGTATTTTAACAGATCTGATGCTGAAATCCTATTTATAATTCATTATTTTTACAACTATATTTGGCAGCATTTAAACATTCTTTTATTGATACATAAAATAGAGGCATCACATAATCCACGGTGACATTAAGTAGAGTACAGTATACACAACAGGACAATAGCAGTCCTAGTCATATGGCTAACATTTAAATCAATTTTAGCTCTTAAAAGTGCTATGGAAAAAAAAGGGTTGAAATACTGAAACAAATTTTTAAAACACAGTCATTTTTACTTTAATTTTTTAAAAACTTTAAGCCAAAGGAAAGTCAGGATTCAAATAAGAATGGCTCATTTTATTCAGTAGATTTACAGAATGTATGCAAATTAGTATTTAGATGTATAGAATTCATGTAACATATGAGATTAATATTACCATTAAGACAGTTATAAATTTTCAAAATGGCAGAAGTTTACTTTACCAGAAGTTAAAGACTGTACCCCAACAGAAAGATCCTATGATCATCTACGTTTGAGAAATATTGTAAAACTGTGAATCATTTGTTCAGTATTCAAGAAATGTCTTGAACTTTGCCTATTCCCTATTTGAAAATACTTTTTTGTGGCAAACATTACTATTTGAGGAATTAAAACTTCAGGAAAACAATTTTAAAGCTTTCCAATAAAGGTGGAGGTTTCCTCCAGGTGACACAAACTTGCCTGATTCTATCAATGGTCCCAGGATCCCAAATGCCAAAGTCAGGCCCTCCTGCTCCAAATAAGTCGCTAAGGAAATGGGCTCTAAATTAAAAGAGTCTGGCTTCAAATGAACTTCGATTGCTTATAAATAATTGAATGGTCCATGGGATTTGTTCTATACAAGATGACAGAATTTTCTCTTAGCTGTTAGAAAGTTCAGTATGAAATTTTATTCTCAATTATAATGATAATCCTAAGACCCCAATGCACATCTACTTATTCAAATGCATTAATCCATTTTTATTCTGGTATCTATTTCCATTGCTACTTAAAATTACTTACTATTTTTGGCAAAATATCAAAACTACAAATACAATGACTTATCAATAAAAATTCTACCCTATCTATATGGATTATTTTGACATAATAAAAGCGACTAAATCACTTCGATTTTAAGGGACAACGCTCAGGAGAAAGATATCTTTTCTGCAATATTCATAACCTATCCAAATATAACAACGATTAACCTAAAAAGGCTTATAAACATTCTAATGAGATGATTATTTATGGCATAAAGAAAAATCGTTGTTTTAACAAACAACTTCTAAATTCTAAAAGTCAACTCCATTATTAAGGGATTAATATATAACTACATACTATAATTTTCAACTGTCTTAAAAACCTTGAAATCTTTACAATACGACAGGAATTGTTAACTAAAATATTTACAGAGGTAAAGGGTGTGACCTGAGTAAGTGACGTACCTAGGTGGGCACAGTGACAAACTAGAGAACATAGACTTACTTTAATCTACAGCCTCTTCATAGCACACCAAACAGTAATATGGGCTCAAGGGAAACCAGAATTGATTGTTTAAGAGGAGCGTGAAATACAGATTTTTGCATGTCTCCTAAATTTTACATGTTGATTCAATTTATGCCGGCCAATTTTGCTTTCCTGTGTTGTTTTACAGTAGGTTAGAAAGAAAAAAAAATCCTGGGTGAAAAACTTTTTGAAAAAAATGTTTTAACTCTAACAAATTCAAATATGTATCGTAAATGCATAAAAGAAAGGCATACTCTCTAATACTTCTTTTAAAATATTGATATTTAAAGTAAAATGTATACTGCTTTCTCACATCAGAAATGCTTTTGTTTGAAAAACAAGGAAAAAAGCTTCAATTGCGATTCAGTCCTAATACTCCAATTTTAAACCTCTCAGCTTGCTCTCAGGCTGGGAAGGTAAACATGAAATTTTTAAGGATGGAAGGGTCTTGAGAGTTAGCAGAATATGTCTTCTATACAACAGGTATTCAGCTTATAGGTGATGAATAAATGGATTTTCTTTTTTCTTCTTTTTTTTTTTTTTTTTTTTTTTTTGAGACAAAGTCTCACTCTGTCACCAGGCTGGAGTGCAGTGGCGTGACCTTGGCTCATTGCAACCTCTGCCTCCCGGGTTCAAGCGATTCTCCTGCCTCACCCTCCAGAGTAGCTGGGACTATAGTCACACGCCACCACGCCAGGCTACTTTTCGTATTTTTAGTAGAGATGGGGTTTCACCACGTTGGCCAGGATGGTCTAGATCTCTTGACCTCGTGATTCACCTGCGTCGGCCTCCCAAAGTGTGGGATTACAGGCATGAGCCACCACTCTTGGCCAAATAAATGGATTTTTAAAAATGGATAAATACCGCTGTGACGTTCGATATTTTAAAAAACTACTACAAATAAAGCAATATTTGTGCAATGGTAATAATCACTTATACTTGCTATTTTTATTTTCATAATAAAACTAAACTAAAATTATTAATCTATAATGATTGCCATATAGGAAATAAATCTATATATAATACAAACATATGTGTCTAATAAAATGTATATATAGGTTGGGCGCAGTGGCTCACGCCTGTAATCCCAGCACTTGGGGACGCCGAGGCGGGTGAACTGCTTGAGGCCAGGAGTTCAAAACCAGTCTGACCAACATGGCAAAACTAAAACTACATCTCCGCTAAAAATAAAAAAATTTAGCTAGGCGTCATAATGTATGGCTGTAATCCCAGCTACTTTGGAGGCTGAGGCATGAGAATAGCTTGAACTCGGCAGGCAGAGGTGGCATTGAGCCGAGAACGTGAGACTCTGTCTCAAAGAAAGAAAGAAAAAAAAAGTATATAAATCAACAAACACAGATAAAAAGGTTCTCTTCACTTCTGAAGGTGCTAAAAGTTCACAGAATACTCTAATCCACAAATTTATGACTTCCACTATATGGACTCTTTTTAATACAATAATATTTTAAGCACTGCTGAAAAAATCAAATTGCATATATCTCTCATTGTTTCCTAAATATATTTTAGTATAATAGAATTGATTGGTAAGGGGCATAAACATTTTCTAAATGTGCTACTTACAATCAAATTGTCTATTTAAAAAGTCATCAGCAACTTAAACTTTAAGCAGTAGTGTAAATATCACTGCTCTTCATCCTTACAAACTTTGTAGCTAGAAAACAGTATTTCATTCCGCTTTTAAATTAAATTCCTTCTCTTACCAGGAACACTAATTTTTCCTAAGTGCATAAATCACTTGCAGAGCTGAAAAAAATACTTTGCCCAATTTTAGAGTTCTTTTCACGTCGATCTGAAAGAATTATCTGTAAAATAAAGATCTATTTCTGATATAATATGTACACACACACACGGTAAGTATTTTACAAGTATGTTGTCTTTTGCTTTTTGTCATATACAGACTTAATTTTAATTTTGCTAAATTAAACCTTCGGAATGCTTGCTTGTGAGGTTCTTAGGAAGGTCTTTGTTAACATCATAATCTATCTATATAAATAGGCATTTGTGTTTTCTTCTGGTATTTTTTATAATTTTTTCTAATTTTGTATATTTAAATTTTTTAATCTAAATTCCATGAGGAACTTGTTTTGTTGACATAAAAATCTAGCTTGTTTTCTCCACAAGGCAGGCATTTCATTTATAAACATAATTCATCTTTTCCTACTTGTATAAAGTCTCACCATTACCATGCTATAAATTCTTACACATATTTGGGTGTTTCTGGATTTTCTATTCTCCTGCATTCATTTACCTGTCTTTTCAGCTGGTAGCAAACTATTAGTGAAAATTGATAGCATATTTTGATATATAGAAAACTAAAATTTTAACTCCATTACAAAAATTTTCTTAATGCTACCACAATACTAAAAGCATGTGTATTTCAAAAATGTTAACTTTGATAAATTTATTTATGTAAAATTGATAGAGAACTCACACCTTGAGAAAAATGAGTCGTCTTATTCGAGAACATAAACAATCTTCCCACTTCAAAGTTTCCTTCTAAGGTCCCTCCGCAAAGAACATATTTACATAAGAATTCATTGATATAAAATATTGGATTTTACCCAAAATGTTCTTAGCCCAGAAGGCGATATATTATGGAAATTATTTCTTTCATTATGCTTCTTTCTATAATGTATCTAACATTATATTTTAAACTGTATACATAAAAAATAAAACACTGTACATACTTTTATTAATTAAATCACTTTAAAATTGTCTCTGAAGTGCTCTGTAAGAGGAACTGTGGGTGAGTCAGAAACCAGCTAAAGTTTTGGGTTTATTTTGCTGCTCATAAGGATGGCCCGGGCCCTCCGCCTCCAAGGCGTCCACATCTCAGGCGCTGCGGAGCCCGTCCGGGAAGAAAGCCCAGCACCCTGGGCACCAGAACGGCCCGCTCCGCACACCCATTCTTTCCATGCCTCCCCTCGCCCCCACTCCCCAAGCCCCAACTCTGAAGGGGGTGCTTCTCCCCACCCGCCCACCTCCTCCCGCAGCCCGCAGCCTGCAGCCCCCGACACCTGTTCTTGTAGGTTTCAGACCGGTCCTTTACTCTTGAGCAGGAGGCTCCGCTGCAGCTTCCACACGTTCGTTCCCCTGGACGCAGCTTTGTGGATCTTCCTGAGATCCTCATCTGGGGTCTAGTACCTGACGTCAGTAAAGATATGGTTACCCAAGTTGCTCAAGGGCACCTGGCCCTTGTGGCTCTCCACAGCCACTATCTTTGTGGCCCCGCTACCAGCTTCAGAGAGGCCACAACTTGCCCTCGCCCTTCCCCCTGCCCAACCCCCACCCAGACCCCACCCAGCCCAGCACCAGAGAGCAAGGTGGGCTGGCCCCGACCTCCGACAGGCGCACTCCAACCTCTCTGAAGACTTGGCAGAGGTTGGAGAAGACAGGGAATCTCCAACCTCTGAGAAGACTCGAAGAAGAGCCGTTAGGTGCCAGTGCGCATGCGCACCTCAACCAGCTGCCCCCTGGCGCCCCCGCGAGAGGCGAGAATCTGCGCATGGCGGAAAAACCGTCCCTGAGCCAAGTTCTCGCGGCACCACGTGCCTGCCGCAGATGGGCCTGTGGGCTGGCAGGGCTCCCAAGAACGGAGCGCTGGGCCAGGCCTGCCCCAGGGCCCGCTTGACTGCACCACCCCCTTCTTCCTCCTGGACAAGCGCCCAAAGCGAGGGATCCTGGCACTGGGCACTGTGCAGCCACTGGGATGGGGCTGAGCACCAGCTCCTGCCCTCCTACAGCTGCTGGGCTGACTTCCTGAATAAGGTGCCCGGCAGCATCTGGCCAGGGGTCCATGCTCCTGGTGGCGGGCAGGGTCGGGGTTTGCCACAGCTGCTGATGCACACACACCACATGCAACCAAGTGTCTAAAGTTATCACTGTTTCCCAAAAGATAAATAAATTGACATTTAGGGTCAACATGGAATACTAAGGATAGTTGAGACATAAAGTCATCTTAAGCAAGGTTTCTTCCCTTAATCGCATAAAATCAATCACTAAGGCCACCACACGTAAGTCAGAGTTTGAATTCAGTCTTTTTTCATGTTCTAGTCCACTGTTCCATTTTATCATCAATAAAGCAGACTTCCGAGGAAAATATCACAATATGCCCCAATATGTTAAATATATGTTACCGGAATTCTACTTAATACCAAATATCTGTACTCTGTTTCCAACTGTTTTAGTCTACTAAATACACAGTCAGTGGCTGATACATAGTCTGGGTTTTACTGCTTTCCACATTAGTTGCTCCCTCCCAGATCCCCCCCACCCCTACCCCAGCTTATGGTATACCCCTCTTTTGTAACAGTAATCATGTGTTGGAGGAATCACTGTCTTAATGTTCTCAACTGTGTGTTTCAAAGAATAAGCGCCCCATCTCCTTTGAGTTTCTGGAAATACTGTGGCACACAGTAAGTATTTGTTCAAATTGGTGGGCAGCTAAGCCACACGATGGTATGTTTAAAATCACTTTAAAATTACAGTTCTTACAATATAATCCCATACACAGCTTGGCAACCCATTAGATTTATGCAATTTTGCTGCATATACTTCCATCTTTTACATGTTTTCTTTGGGTCATTTACATCATTAAAAATTACTTCCAAGTTATAAAGAAAGTATTTCAGCTTAACTTCCCAAGGTTAATAGGTGTCCACTCTTCCCACTTTAACCATCCCATGTTTCTGCTGTTTATATTTGAATATTGGCAGTTCTCTCGTGCTGTGTTCCAGAAATATGAGACTAATTTTTGGAACTCAAAACAAATTTTTCCCACAGAAAAGTTAGAAGACAAAGAACAAAATACACAAAGGTCACCTGCGTTTCCACACCCATCCACAAAAACTTGTTTAACACACTCCAATATAAAAGAACCTGGCCACACTGTGCTATCTTCTCTAGAAAAAATGTCTTTTTCCAATTGGCTATGCCTGAAACACATTTCTCTTCCCTCTCCTCTTCCACAACCTAAGTGGTGAGGCTCCCTACATTCAGCCCTTCCCTCCTTTCCAGCCCTATGCTTCTTCTCTAGGAACAGAGAGTGAAGTATAGACCAGCAACAGATATTCCAGGTACAAGAATCAGAGAGGAGACATTGTTCCGGGGCATAGAAAAGAAACAAGAGAGAATTTATAGTGCTACAGTGGCTGTTCACAAGATCCCCATGGGGCAGGCCCTGAGGTGCACCCAGCATTCTAAGGGAGACAGAGGCTATAGCTGGGAGGCAAGAGCTCTAGGAGCCTCCTTGGACAGGGTGTGTTCTCATGTAGAAGCACATCATCACTCATTCATCCACCGGTAAACACTGAGAACATACAATCTCTTAGTACTGACTATATTCAGAAAATAAAATAGGTGCATAGAAGTTGCAGTCAATGGGGGCAGAACACATTACTCAAGTAACTCTCTCAAACATTTATCATTAAAAACTGAGATAAATTCACAGAAGGAAAGGAAAACAATTCCGTGAGAGTGTGTGTAAATCATCTGTCCTAGCTTGAGAGATCAAGGCAAGATTCACTAAGGGTGTAATACTTAATGTGAAATCTGAAAGATCAGGAAGAGAGAGGGGATGGAGAAGACAGGAGAAACTCTAGGCAGAGAGAACAGGATGAAAAACGCCTGTGGAAAAAAAGAGACAATATTTTCCAGAGAGGAAGAAAGAACAGTCATGGAGAACAAGGCAAAGGGGGTGGTAGAGGGTAAACAAAAACAGGCTGTCTCATAAACTCATTCTTTACAAGTATTCAGTGAGAAGCTACCATATACCAGGCACTCTGTGAGGCCCTTGGGATGGAGCAGTACCTAAGACAAGCAGGACCATCCCTCCCACAGCACTCACAGTGCATGGGAAGGACAGACTAAAAAGTAAGCAAGATAATGTCAAACAACGATGTACCAGTGAGCTGAATTTCTATGTGAGCAAAGTCCATGCACACAGATTATACCTACCCATGGAGCCTTATTTAAATGTTGCTGGTTGTGGCACACATCAAGATGCATGCAGGAATTGTTCCCAAAGCCAGACCATACTTTTTTTATAGGCAAGGCACACCTGTGTCCATTTTTAAGACATATATACTAAATAACAGTCAGATAAAAGAAGAATTTAGCCCTATGTCGATATCCCTTAGCACATGAAACATATTTGATATATTTGTTTCTCATTTGACAGGAAAGGGAAACTATCACCCAAACAATATACTTCAGCCAAAGGAGAAGGAAGGACTGGGAAAGCGTGCCTTGAGATGTGTCACCCCACCCCCACCAGCTCACACGCTTGCCTGTTCTTTTCTCTCTCTCTCTCTCTCTCTCTCACACACACACACACACACACACACACACACAAACTGCCCCCTCTAATCAGGCTATTTATTAAGCTGCTAGTGCTTCCACGCCATGCTGTTTCATGCCTCCATGCCTTTGCCTGTGCTGTCCACCCTGCAGTAAAATCCTCCCATGTTACCTCTTCAGCTCCTTGGGGTCCTCGTATCTAATTCACGCATGACATCCCGCAGGAAGCTGTTGCCTGAGTTGCTTGCTGCTAGTTGGGTTAGTTATTCTTACAAACTCTCTCCTACCAGAGCTCTTAGCACACAGTATTAAAATGTGTGTTCACATGCCTCCCACCATACTGAACTCCTCAGCGGGGAAGCTGCCAGACAGTGCCTAGGACGTAAGAGAGGGGTGCGAAGTTGGTCTAATAAATAAGATGAATAAATGAATGAACAAATAAACAAATGGCCTGATTTCACAATTCACAGCGTTTACTGGAATTCTGTCTACCACAAAAGAGTGAAGAGATCTTTCTATAAATTGAGACTGATGTTCATGCATCTCAGGGATTTAACCTCAATTCTGTCCTTTCCTACTCTGACACACTCCACTTGTCCACCACGCCCACATTCTGTGCCTGAGGAACACACTCCACAGCTGAATCTGATGGAGGACCGAAGCTCCAGCGAAGTGGCCCTCAAGTAAATCCTGCTGCTCACTCCTCCTGGCCTGGAGTCAGATATCCTGTGAGTGCTGAGGCCAAAGAAAATGGAAGGACAGAGTCAGATGGCATCAACCACAGTGGGGAGCACAGGTGAAAGATGTCTTGTGAAAGAGGGATGAAGGGAGGCTCTAGGACAAGGTGATCAGGGCTGGGGCACAGCTTCAGGATGTACGCTGAAGCAAGCAAGCTTATGCCAGGCTGCAGTGACAGAGAGACAGGCCAAAAACGCTCTCGGACCCTCCGCACCACACAGGTCCTAGGAAAAAGGCTCTGGTGGATGCTTTTCAGAGGACACAATCCCCTGGGGAATTCTGAGGCCAGAAAAGACGCCTGGCTAATCATTTCCCCTGAGTAATCTTAAAACACATACAAACACACAATAAACTTTACACAGCATGTTCTCAAAATCAAGAAAAAGAAACTGACTTGTACTTCCTCATCCTACCTCTCAAGAAAGATTCTGTCTGCTGATACCTTTAATTCCTTTAACAGCAATAGTTTTTCATTTCATAAAGAGAAATAAAGGGCAAACTGCCTGTGACACACAGTTTGAATAAATTTCAGCCAAATGAAATTAGATTACTTAAAAACACCATGCTCAGAGTAGAACAGATACAGATTCAAATCCAGTTTCCACTGTTTCCTAGCTATACCACCAGACCCCGGCCTTTTTGGCACCAGGGACCAGTTTCGTGGAAGATAATTTTTCTTCATTGTTGGAGGGGATGGTTTTGGGATGATTCAAGCACATTACATTTACTGTGCACTTTGTTATTATTACATTGTAATATATAATGAAATTATACAACTCACCATAATGTAGAATCAGTGAGAGGCATCAGCTTCTTTCCCTGCAACTAGACTGTCCCATCTGGGGGTGATGGGAGATAGTGACAGATCATCAGTCATTAGATTCTCATAAGAAGCACACAACCTAGATCCCCTGCATGCACCACAAGCATGTTCACAACAGGGTTCACGCTCCTGTGAGAATCTAATGCCACTGCTGATCTGACAGTAGGCAGAGCTCAGGCCGTAATGCGAATGACGGGGAACAGCTGTAAACACACATGAATCTGCTCTAATGCCCACTCACCACCTCCTGCTGTACAACCAGGTTGTTAAAAGGCCAGGGACCAGGACCCCTAAGCTACATGGCCTCAAAATACATAATAACTCAGTCTCCATTTGTTTATTTATACAATGAGGTGCCACCACCTCTCCAGGAGTAAAGCCGTCAGCAGGACACACAATCGGCTACCACTCCCCTTCCACATGTTTTGATGGGGGATAAAAAACAAAGAGAAAGAATGGATGAACTAAGGCATAAAAGGCAGAGAAAAGGGAAAAAACCAATATTGAAATGATAGAACTTTTCAATTTTCTTTAGTTCTTTATGGATTTAAGGGAAAGGCACTCTTGAACAGATGACATCGGCGGCTCAGCAACTCCCCCTGTGGCTTGTTAGGAATGACCACCAGAAGAGAATGTAGAAGCCACCTGGCAAAATCTCCTACGGCATCCAAAACAAAATGTCCCCTCAGCATCTATTTATATATTTCCAATGACAAATGCAATATTCCACAAATCACATTGTTAAATATTCTCACTGTAACTAAGGTCATCCTTCCTTGGGCCATGTGTACCTTTTCTTATTTCATCAGGTGGTACTCCATCTCAGCACACCAAAGAACTACTCCCTTCCAACATGTGAAGGATCATGCCTCCCCCTCAACATCTACATCTCCTTCCTTCAAGGGCACCCTCTTTTGAAGGTCAATGTTCCTTTTGATCCTTCATTCTTAAAATTAAACTCAAAAAAATACAGATGCATATAAACATCTATACATTTGCTTAAATGAGCAAATATACAAAATCCTTAAACCAACATTCAAGCTGTGCCTCAATTTTATTTTAGTACTGATATTCCTCGTTACATCTCCCTTTATAATATTTATCTTTTATTCTTCAGCTTCAAGGTAGATTTACATGTCATAAAACTCACCTAATTTAAGTGTACAACTCAATGTGTTTTAGTGAATTGACACTGCAGTCCAAGTTTAGAATCCTCCCATCACCCCAAAAGTTCCTTCATTCCCATCCGCAGTTAATCCTGTCTCCTACCTCTAGCCCCTGGGCAGCCACTGACTTACTTGCTGTCACTAGTTTTGTCATTTGTAGAAATTTCATATAAATGGGATCATATAAACTAGTCTTGTGTCTAGCTTCTTTCACTCAGCATGTGGAGTTGAGCATTTATCCATGTTGTGGCACGTGGCACATTCCTTGTCACTGTTCACTAGTATTCCACTGTGTGGATGTACCACAGTTCACTCATAGCTGATGAACATTTGGGTTGTTTCCAATTTGGGCTATTATGAACAATACTGCCATAACCATTCACATACAAGTCTTCATGAGGATATGTTTCCATTTATTTTGGAGTAGAATACTAGGTTTTATGGTAAGTAAAAGTTTAACTTTTTAAGAAACTACAAACTCTTTCCCTCAGTGGCTGCTCCATTTTGTATTCCCACCAGCAACATGTGAGGGTTCCACTTTCCCACAGCATCACCCACACTTGGTACTGCCACTCTTTCTGGATGTGAAGTGGTATCTCACTTTCGTTTCTATTTGCATTTTGCCAATCACTAATGGTGCTGAGTATATCTTTTCATAAGCTTACTTTCCATTTATATATCTTTTTTGATAAAATGTCGATTCAAGTCTTTTGCCGTCTGCTTACTGGGTTGCTTATTTAGTTCTTTAAATATTCTGGGTACAATACTTTATCAGATATGAATTTTTCAAGTATTTTATCCTAGTCTATGGCTTGTTTTTTTCATTTTGTTAATGGTGTCTTCTTCATAAGAGTTTTTTTTTTATTTTAATGAAGTCCAAACTACTAATTTTCCTTTTATTTTGTCATGTCTTCAAAAAAATAATGTCATATCTTTTAATGTCATATCTTTGCTAATCCAATGTCAAAAATATTTACTCCTATTTTTTCCTACAGGTTGTACAGTTTTTTCTCACTTGTAAGTTTCTGGTCTATTTTGAGTTAATTTCTGTGTATGTTCTGAGGTGGACCTCAAGATTTATTATTTATTTGTTTGCATGTGTATATATACAATTGTTACCACATCATCTGTTGAAAAGATAATCCTTCCCCCAGTGACTTGTCCTAGCACATTTGTCAACAATCTTTGACCATATTTTACTCAACTAATTAACATGTCTATCTCTACACTATTAGCACACTGTCTTGATGACTGTAGCTTTATGGTAAGTTTTGTAATGCGGTAGTGTAAGCCCTTCAACTTTTTTCCTCTGTTTTTTTTTTTTTTTAAACTATCCTAGATCCTTTGTGTTTCCATTTAAGTTTTAGAATCAGCTTGTTCATTTCTATAAAATCACTTGAAGCCAGGGGAGGTGGAGGTTGCAGTGAGCTGAGATCGTGCCCCTGCACTCCAGCCTGGGTGACAGAGCAAGACTCTGTCTCAAAAAAAAAAAAATCCTGCTAGAATTCTGCCAGGGATTACAATGAACCTATTGCTCAAATGTGGAAGAATTGCCGTCTTAACAAGATTTGAGTCCCCCATAAATATGGTGTATGCCTCTGTTTATTTATTAATAGATCTTCTTTAATTTCTCTCAGCAATGCTTTTTATTTCCAGTGTAGCTCTTGCACTTCTTTTTAAAATTTATTCCTAAGCATATTGTTCTTTTTGATGCTATTGTGAATAGATTTTTAAAAATTTTAGACTATTCATTTCTTTTATATGGACACAACACTGATTTTTGCATATTGCTCTTACATCCTGTGATTTAACTACTTCTTTCATATTGTTTTGAATAAATACATCTCACTTGAAATGTTAAACTTCATGCCCTGCATTATTTTACTTCCCTTTTACACAAAAGCTATACCAAGAGGAAGGCAAACATTTCAACCACCTTTTTAGAAATCACCTGCTTTGGAACAATAATTCATAATAGGTCATTAATAAACAAACTTCATATATTTCATTATTTGTGCTAAAGCAGGTTTAAAATTTCCACTTAGCAAACTTAAACTTATATTTTTAAAGCTAGTAGGAAAAGTGACTGTCTGCCTCCTGCTCTTTTTAAAAATCCCTGTGGCAGGAGTCTACTTATAATACAGATTTGCCAAATCCAATCCACCTTCGGTTTTTGTAAACAAAGTTTTCCTGAAACACAGCCATGCTCCTTTGCTTACATATTGTGTATATATACATTTGCACTATGACAGCAGACCGGAACAGCGACACAGACTGCATGTCCTGCAAGGCTAACAGTTCAGTATCTGGTTCTTTACAAAGATAGTTTGCCAAACCTGCTCTCAGAAATGCTGGGTGAATATGGTGAGAGTTAAATTCCTGCTTTGTTACTTAAGAAGCATTAATGTCTTAATATATAGTGCCACAGAGTGTTTGTGTTCCCTTAAAATTTATATTTGAAACCTAATCCCCAATATGAGGATACCTGGAGGTGAGTCCTTTTGGAGGTGATTAGGTCATGAGGGCAGAACCCTCACGAGTGGAATTAGTGCCCTTAGAGAAGACACCCAGAGCTATTCTGCCCCTTCTACCATGTGAGGTTAAAAAGAAGATGGTGACTATGAAAAAAGAAGCAGGCCTTTGCCGGACACCAAATTGCTCAGCACTTTGATCTTGGAGGGTCCACACTCCCAAACTGGGAAAGACAAATTTCTTTAGTTTCTCAGACACACAGTTTATGATATTTTGTTAAGGCAGCTCAAACTAAGGCATATAGGATATTCTATTCCTAAATACTCTTTTCTTTGTCTCTAATACCTAAATTGTTCAATTTTTTTCCTCAAAAATCTCAAAACGTACATGAAAATACAGACTAGGAAAAAGCACTGAATTCTAAAGTAGACTATAGATTAGAGGTAAATTATCCAGATATGGATCAGAAGACTAAAGCATACACATAAGCATTAAAGGGAGCTATAAAAATTAAGTTTATATGTATTAAAATATTTTAATTTGCACATGGGTCTGTTATAGCACGTGCATTAACTACATTATGAACATCTCATAAAGAACATAAAGCAAAAACTATCATAAAGCAGAGAGAGGCCAGAATGTAAAAACTGTTCAGTACTTACAGAAGTCCAAATCCTTCATCTGAAATATTTAAACCCTGGCTGGTCAAAGAAATATATTATATATACCATGTAAAACTAGGCTAAAATAAATAGATGGTATTGTACATAAAAAATAACTGGACAATACATAGTAATGCTCTAAGTCCCATCTTGTGTATTTGAGTGAAATTCTTAAGGTCTGACCGATTAAACATTTTTAATTACTACCAAGGCCTAAGTAGAAAGAAAATGAGCATATACAGATAAGAAGAACATAAGAAAGAAAAAGTCAAACAGAAAAATATATATATGGCTATAAACTAAAATAGAAAAGACATCAAAAAGATATTAAAATATACACTTTTCAGCTGGGCGCGGTGGCTCACACCTGTAATCCCAGCACTTTGGGAGGCCAAGGTGGGTGGATCACCTGAGGTCAAGAGTTCAAGACCACCTTGACCAACATGGTGAAACCCCATCTCTACTAATACAAAATTAGCCGGGCATGGTGGTAGGTGCCTGTAATCCCAGCTATTCAGGAGGCTAAGTCAGGAGAATTGCTTGAACCCGGGAGGCAGAGGTTACAGTGAGCCGAGATCACGCCATTGCACTCCAGCCTGGGCAACAGAGCGAAGACTCTATCTCAATAAATGAATAAATAAATAAATAAATAAATAAATAAATAAATAAATAAATAAAATATACACTTTTCAAATTAATTATCCACCTGCTATTTATTGCTAACACAAGCAATTCATCCATATGGCAAATCTTACCTACCCTAATCTGTTCCATCAACAGTCAAATCCCAACACGGAGATTCTATTCTAAATATCAGCAGCATATAAACAAGTAGCATTTTCTCCCTGAATACTTACTGTAAAAGAGTAACATTAATTTTATACAACTGTAAGTCTCTAGAGCGGCACTATCCAATATCGTTTTCCGCAATGACAGAAGTGTTCTCTATTTGCACTGACCAATGTAGCTGCTAGCCACATGTGGCCAGTGAGCACCTGAAATGTGGCTGGTGTGACTAAGAAACCGATTTTTTTTTTTTGAGACAGGGCCTCACTCCTGTTGCCCAGGTGGGAGTGCAGCGGCATGATGACAGCTCACTGCAGCCTCGACCTCCAGGGATCAAGGGATCCTCCCACCTCACTTTTTGATTTCCTTGTAGAGACGAGGTCTCACTATGTTGCCCAGGTTGGTCTCAAACTCCTGGGCTCAAGTGATCCTCCCGCCTTGGCCTCCCAAAGTGCTAGGATTACAGGTATGAGCCACTGTGCCCAGCCTGAGTTTTAAATTTTAATTAATTTAAATTTACACAGTCACATGTGGCTGAGAACTGTCATACTGAACAGTGTAGGTCTAAATTATTATAAAGTTAACTTCACAGACTGCAATTGCCTTTCAGAAAAAGAAATAATTTCCTATTCCTAAACAAGAATTTACTAGCCTTCCAACTGAAAAGCATGATGTTACTTTTGCTTTAGCCAGTAATATATAAATCCTCCGTTTACAGTAATCTAATCTAAACCTGATTCATAACTTTTTCATCAGATACTAACTGCAGCATCACCGTGAACCTGTCATCTGTACAAGATTTTAAAAATAGGGTCATAATGGTATAAAAATTGCTTCCTCTGAAACGACATCTAAATATTCTTTCTCCTCTTATAAATATTAAAATCAAAATATCAAAAACTTGTAAGTGTTGGTTTACAGAAGAGAAAAGTCATTACAGGCAGTATCAATGGAAATTGAGAAGACAGTACATTACAACAGAGGGGGTGACTAACAGTGCCAAACACAGAAGATGCAAAATAGAATGAGACTGAAAGGCTAATAAAAGCCATAGGTCTGATTCCTTATGCAAAACTCTTACAGATATATGTGTTTCAGAATTCAGAAATATGGTGCACATGTCATATATCACAGCTCAGATACTACAGAATACTCCAGTAGGGTCTGCTGGTATACCCTATCCCTGAGTTTTCAACCAAGTACATTTACCCATCTCTATTCCCAAATTTACATCTCTGGTCCAGCTACCTAGCTCCTACTGCATGATTCCTTAGCTACCTATCTCCTATTTTATGTCTCACAGATACCTTAAAGTCAGCCTTCACTTACTCAGCAAAAATTGAGTGTTTACTACATACCAAGCACTGTTTAGGGGCTACATATTTACCACCTTGAAATACTCTATCCCCTGAACAAGCTCTCCACTTTTAGGGCTCCCTACCTCAGAAAACAGTGCTTCCATCTACCCTGTTGTTCAAACCAGAAACACAGGAGTCCATCCTTGACACCTTATTTTCTATCTGTACTTTCCCAGCCATCACTCAGTCCTTTTAAATCTCTCTCCAATCTACTAATTTCACTACATCTCTCCACTGCCATCGCCTACATACTATAAGTCTGTGGTTCTTAACAGGAGGCAATTTTGCTCCTCCAAGGCACATATGAAAATAACTAGATACATTAATGGTTGTTACAATTCCAAGTGCTACTACCATCTAGTGAGTAGAAGCTAGTAATGCAACTTAACGTCCTACAATGCACAGGTTAGTCCTAAATGTCAAAGAATTATCCATTCCAAAATATCAACAGTGCTGAGGTTAAAAACCTCTGCTTTAAGTAAAAAGAGGAATGATACATACCAATGATTTTATTTTTGTATTTATGGCAATTCTTCTTTAAAAAGTTATCACAGCCGGGTATGGTGGCTCACACCAGTAATCCCAGCACTTTGGGAGGCCGAGGCAGGCAGATCACCTGAGGTCAGGCGTTCAAGAACAGCCTGGCCAGCATGGTGAAACACCATCTCTACTAAAAACACAAAAATTAGCTGGGCGTGGTGGCAGGTGCCTGTAATCCCAGCTACTCAGGAGGCTTACGCAGGAGAATCGCTTGAACTCAGGAGGTGGAGGTTGCAATGAGTTGAGCTCACGCCACTGCACTCCAGCCTGGATGACAAGAGTGAAACTCCATCTCAAAAAAAAAAAAAAAGTTATCACAATTCAGAATTACTTTAATGTAATAAAATTCTACTCTGATCCAATTATATCAAAGTGAAATACATATTTCTACGTGAACAAAGTAAATACTTATATATGTTCTCCACTCCTATTAGGATCATGATACAGTAGGAAATTCCACTTTGTACAAGAAAATGTAAGGCATGCCTGTAAAAAGAAAGCACAATTAGAAGAGAGATACCCAGTCACAAACATCAAGTTAATGATTTAGGCTAAAGAATATTTATAGGAGCATTCCCAGATAAAAATAAAAAATAAAACCTCCAAAGCCTAAAATTCTGTGAACACCCAACAAAGGGGTCCCATACACAGGCTCCAGAAGATCTGGGAAAAAAAAACCAAAAAAAAAAAAACAAAAATACCAAGCCCTAAAGCCATGCACAGCACTACGCAGCACTGTCTCTTGGCTGCATGGAAGCTGTGCAGCATTACGTGGCTCAGGGATTACAGCTTTCTTCATAACTCAAGGCACAAAGATAAAAACAAACAGTAATTAGGATGAATTTCAGAACAGCCCTGACAGAACATCAGTTGTTCTCCCAAACTAATTTCTCCAATACCAGCCTTGTACTCTTGTCTTTACCTTTTTAACAATGACTCAAAAAACAACAAAAACTACTAAATATTAGAATTTACTAAAAAAAAAAAGTACTCAAATCTATTCTCAACACATGATGACTCAAGTCAAATAAACTTGCTTATATAAATCTAGTCATTCGTTAATTTGCTGTGATGTATCTACAAAACATTCTGGCTAACATGACACAATATTTTCTATTATTTAAATATTCTAAAAATCTGCCATTAAATGAGAGAACTAATTTATCCACTCATTTCACAAAATGCAGGCAAAACACGGTTAGAATGTCTCTGATTAAAATAAATCAAAACTATCCCAGAGATTATATGTATCTGTGCATGTGCACACAGACACACACGCACATATACACACGTATGAACACGCACACTCTCAACTTTCCCCTTTGGTGACAAGAACAATGTATAATAAAATTTTCAAATCATTATGTACTATTTACATTATTAATAAGGATGTTAACCTACAATTAAAATTACTTCTAAATTTAAACCTTATGGAATAACTGGCACCTTCAATGTAGAACATTTATTAAAAATTTTGAACACATTTTTTCCACAGAAATATTATAAATCAGTAATAGGCTCCAAGGCAGGCCAGTAGAAGAAACTTATTTGATCCACTGTACAGAATAGGTCAGTCTATCTATTTCTCTCCCCCCAACACACATGTGTACACACATACACACACACTGAGAACATAACATTGGCCTGGAGTACTATTAATCAGAGGGCTTTGAGGAAGCAGAATAACCTAAATGAGTATAAATGGAAACAAAAGACAGCTTAAAACACAGAGTTAAAGTACACTTTTCAAAACTAATGATCCACTTTCTATTTATTGCCAACACTATCAGTTCACCAACAGCCCTTATGTGAAAATGCTGACAAGGACTGCTAGATACCTTTAAGGGCTTTTTAAATAGAGAGAACTCATTCCAGGTACTTATCCTAAAGAAGGAAAAAACACTTTTGAGGACTCCAGGAGGAAAAATTTTCCTTCATTATGAGTCAATTTCTTGGAACATAAGGGACATATCCCAAGTTTAGAAGTTAAGGGTCTTATTTCTCAAACAATGCTTTGGTGCTTTATTTCACCTTAAGGTGATGCCCCCTTTTTCTGGTGTCACCACTCAGATGATAGGTTTGGCCATCTTTGGGGTGCAGCATAATATCTGGACAGCCTCCTTCTGTGTAAGTCTTTGTTACTGCAACAATCCAAGTTTAGCAGTAGAGAGTGAATCTGCATTCGCCTCTATTTCACTGACCTCCACGACAAGCATCAAGTTATTTTCTACTCAATGATTGCGCTGGTGATATTCTTCATAATTTCCTGTCCTGAGCTACTCTGCTTGTTCGCATTGGTAAAATGCCTATAATAAACATAGTAGTCACTAAAGATTTTTCAGAATTAAGACATAATACATGAAAAGTGTTGACTGGGTTAGCTGGCACGCAGTAAGCACTGTATTATTAATTATTATTAATAAGACAAAAATTAAAGAGAGTAATATCTTAAAAGTCTATTATAATTCAACTTTCATCATTTCCGAGTTGAGGAAACCTAAGGTCTAGTCAGTATCCTAACTGACATCAAAACTCAACGTTGTTTCCGGGCAATTTATCCACTGGCTGATTCTCCAAGGAATGGAGTCAGGTAGAATGAAACCCCATGGGCTATGCATCATAATCTTTTAAGTTATTTAATAAGCACTTTGAAAATGAGATAGTGCTTTATTACAAAACATCAGCTTGTTTTTAGATACCACCTTTTACTTTATTTTAAACTTCAAGTAACACTAAAGGCAGGTATAAAATTTACTTTTAGCAAAAAAGAGTACAGGTTTAACAAAGGTTGAAAAACATCTCAATTATTCAAGTAATCTTTACTGAATATCTACTTTCTGAAAGACACTATACTGAACACTAGAAATACAAGAGTCAATAAGACAGTCTACCCTCAGAGAGCTTCCCGTCTAGAGAAAAAGACATAAATAGGTTATTTCAGCATTGTATGATAAATGCTAAAAAGGAGACTAAAACACAAAAATTTCCAATCTGAATTACCAACTGGATGATGGTATTAACAGACGACGGACCCTGAGCAACTTTCCACGTTCACAATGACTAGCTTTTGTGTCATGGACTTCCTGTAGTTTAGTGGATTTCAGTCCTCACAGTTATCACTAGTTTTACTTCACAGATGAAGCTAAGAGGCGCTACATAACATGTGCAAAGTCATACAGCCACTAACACCAACACACTCACAGTGGAATACAGGTCTGTCTGACTTCACAGTTTAAGCTCTATTCCATTACCCTATATAATATATATATTATATAATATAATATATAATATAATATAATAAATATATAATATAATATATATTATATATATATTATATATATATTATATATATATATAATATATATATATATATATTTTTTTTTAAGTGAAGACCAACCCGGGCGCGGTGGCTCATGCCTGTAATCCCAGCACATTGTGGGGAGGCCAAGATGGGCAGATCACCTGAGGTCAGGAGTTCATGACCAGCCTGGCCAACATGGTGAAACCCTGTCTCTACAAAACTACAAAAAGTAGCTGGGCGTGACAGCGGGTACCTGTAATCCCAGCTACTCAGGAGGCTGAGGCGGAAGAATTGCTTGATCCCAGGAGGCGGAGGTTGCAGTGAGCCAAGATTGTGCCACTGCACTCCAGCCTAGGCGACTGAGCAAGACTCCGTCTCAATAAAAAACATTAAAATAAAATAAAATGGAAAGAAAAGCAAAGACCAAACAGAAGCAGGTAAAAATAGTAATACAAGCATAACTCGTTTCATTGCACTGTGCTTTGCAGATACTGAGTTTTTTCCAACTTGAAGGTTTGTGGCAACCCTGCACTGTGTCAGACGGTTAGCACTATTTTTCTAGTCCCATATACTCCCTTCAAGTCACATTTTGGTAATTCTCACAATATTTCCAATTTTTACTATGATTATGCCTGTTATAGTAGTCTGTGATCAGCAATCTTTGATGTTATGACTGTAATTATTTGCGGTGGGACCGCAAACCGTGCCCACCTGAGATAGCAAACTTAATTGATCAATGTTGTGTGTGTTCTGACTGCTCCACCGACCAGCCAATTCCCCATCTCGCTCCCTCTTTTGGGGCCTCCTCATTCCCTGAGACACAACAATCATTAAAATTAGGCCAATTAATAACCCTACAATGGCCCCTGTGTGTTCAAATGAAAGGGAAGAGTCCCAGGTCTCACGTTAAATCAAAAGCTAGAAATCATTAAGCTTGGTGAGGAAGGCATGCCAAAAGCAGAGACAGGCTGAAAGCTAGGCCTCTTGCACCAGTCATGTTGTGAATGCAAAATAAAAAGTTCTTGGAAAAAATTAAAAGTGCTATTCCACTGAACACACAACAGATAAGAAAGCAAAACAGCCTTATTGCTAATATAAAGTTTAATCATATGGATAGAAGCTCAAACCAGCCACAACATTCCCTTAAGCTAAAGCCTAGTCCACATCAAGACCCTAACTTCTTCAATTCTATAAAGGCTGAGAGAGGTGAAACTGCAGAAGAAAATTTTGAAGCTAACAGGTGCTGTTATGACGTTTAAGAAAAGAAGCTATCTCCAGAACACAAAAATGCAAGGTGAAGCAGCAAGTGCTGAGGTAACAGCTGCAGCAAGTTATCCAGAAGATCTTACTAAGATGACAGATAAAGGTGGCTACACCAAATAACGGATTTTCAGTGTAGATCAAACAGCCTCCTATTGGAAGAAGACGCCATTCAGACGTTTCCTAGCTATAGAAGAGAAGTCAATGCCTGGTTTGAAAGCTTCAACAGACAGGCTGACATTCTTGTTAGAGGCTATCTTGAGTTGATTTTTGCACATGGTGAAAGGCAGGTATCCAGTTTCATTCTTCTGCAGATGGCTGGCCAGTTTCCTAGCACCACTTATTTTTGTCAATTTTGTTGAAGACAGCTATAGATGTGTGGCTTTATTTCTGGGTTCTCTGTTCTGTTCCATTGCTCTATTTGTTTTTGTACCGGTATCATGCTGTTTTGCTTACCGTATCCTTATAGTATAGTATGAAGTCAGGTAATGTTATGCCCCTGATTTTGTTCATTTTGCTTAGGATCGCTTTAGCTACTCAGGCTCTTTTTTGGTTCCATATATGTTTTAGCATAGTTTTTCCAATTCTGTGAAAAATGACATCAGTAGTTTGACAGGAACAGTGTTGAATCTGTAGATTGCTTTGAGTAGTATTGCCATTTTAATGATATTGACTCGTCCAATCCATAAGCTGAGAGGTTTTCCATTGGTTTGTGACATCTATGATTTATTTTAGTAGTATTTTGTAGTTCTCCTTGTAGAGTTCTTTCACCTCCTTGGTTAGGTATATTCATAGGTATGTTTTGTCTGTGTGGCTATTATAAATGAGATTACATTCTTGATTTGGCTCTCAGCTTGAACATTATTGGTTTATAGAAATGCTGTTTTTTTATACATTGGTATTATATCCTGAAATCTTGCTAAAATCATTTATCAATTTTAATAGCCTTTTGGCAGAGTCCTTAGATTTCCTAAGTATACAATCATGCCATCAGCAAAGAACAACATTTTGACTTCTTCTTTTCCTATTTGGATGCTTTTTCTTTCTTTCTCTTGGCTAACTGCTGTGGCTAGCACTTCCAGCACTACGTTTAATAGGAGTGATGAGAGTGTGCATCCTTGTCCTGTTCTCAAGGGGAATACTTTCAGTTTCTGCCCATTCAATATAGTGTTGGTTGTGGGTTTGCCATAGATGGTTCTTAGTATTTTGAGGTATGTTCCTTTGATACCTTGTTTCTTGAGGGTTTTTATCATGAAGAAATGTTAGATTTCATTGAAAGCTTCTGCCACATCTATTGAAATAATCACATAATTTTCATTTTAATTCTACTTATGTGGTGAATCATATCTACTGATTTGCATAAATCAAACCATCTTTGCAAATCTGAGGAATAAAGCCTACTTGATCATGATGAATTAACTTTTTGATGTGCTGTTGAAATTTGGTTTGCTAGTATTTTGTTGAGCACTTTTGTGTCTATGTTTATCAGGAATCCTGGCCTGTAGTTTTCTTTTTTCGGTGTCTTTACCAGGTTTTGGTATCAGAGTGATGATGGCTTCATAGAATGAGTTAGGGAGAGATCCCTCCTCCTCAACTTTTTTGAATAGTGTCTGGAGAATATTGGTACCAGTTCTTCTTTACACCTTGGGTAGAATTCGGCTGTGAATCCATCTGGTCCAGGGATGTTTTGTTGTTTGGCAGGTTTTTCATTACAGACTCAATTCTGGAACTCAATAATGGCTGTTGAGTGTTTCAGTTTCTTCCTGATTCAATCTTGGGAGACTGTATTTCCAGGAATTTATCCATTTCCTGTAGATGTTCTAGTTTGCATGCATAGAGGCATTCATAATAGTCACAGAAGATCTTTCTGTATTTCTATGGAATAGGTTGTAATGTCACCTTTATTGGTTCTAATTGTGCTTATTTGATTTTCTCTCTTTTTTTTTTTTTGTTACTATAGCTAGCAATCTATCGATTCACTTTATCCTTTCAATAAACAAACTTTTGGTTGTGTTGAGTCTTTGCCAGGGTTTGGGGGTCTTACCTTCATTCTGGTCAGCTCCGGTTTTGTTATTTCTTTCCTTCTGCTAGCTTTGGGGTTAGTTCGTTCTTGTTTTTCTAGTTCTTCTAACTGTGATGTTAGAACGTTAATTTGAGATCTAACTTTTTCAGGGAGGTGTTTAGTGCTATATACTTTCCTCTCAACACTGTTTTTGCTGTACCTCAGAGATTTTGATGTGTTGTGTCTCTGCTGTCACGTATTTCAAAGAATTTTTATGTTTCTGCCATGATTTCCCTGTTTGCCCGAAAGTCATTCAGAAGCAAATTGTTTAGTTTCCATGTAATTGCGTGGTTTTCAGAGATATTCTTGATATTGGTATCTATTTTTATTCCACTGTGGTCCAAGAGAATGGCTGGTATGAGTTTTGGCTTTCTGAATTTATTGTGACTTGCTTTATGGTTGAGTGTGCAGTTGATCTTGGAGTATGTTCCATGTGCAGATGAGAAGAATGTATATTCTGTGGTTGATAAGTGGAGTATTCTGTAGATGTCCATTAAGTCCAACTAGTCAAGTGCTGAGTATAAGTCCAGCATTTCTTTGTTAGTTTTCTGCCTCAATCTGTCTAATGCTTTCAGTGGGCATAGAGTCCCCTGCTACTACTGTGTGGCTAAGCCTTTTTGTAAGTCTAGAAGTACTCATTTTATGAATCTGGGTACTCCAAAGTTGCGTGCGTATATATTTAAGATACTTAAATTTTCTGTTGAATTGAACCCTTTATCATTATGTAATGCCCTTCTCGGTCCTTTTTTACTGTTGCTGATTTACAATCCATTTTATCTTACCTAAGAATAGTGACCCCCTGCTCTTTTTTGTTTTCTGTTTACATGGTAGATCCTTCTCTAGCCATTTACTTTGAGCCTATGGGTATCATTATTTGTGAGATGGGTTTCTGGAAGACAGGAGATGGACAGGTCTTGTTTTTTAGTTCGACTTGCCATTCTGTGCCTTTCAAGCGGGCTATTTAGGCCATTTACATTCAAGATTAATATTGATATGTGAGATTTTGATCCTATCCTGAAGTTGTTAGCTGGCTGATTTACAGTTTCTATTGTGTGGTTGCTTTGTAGAGTCTGCAGGCTATGCACTTATGTGTGTTTTTGTGGTAGCAGATATTGTTCTTTTGTTTCTACGTTTAGAACTCTCTTAAGGATCTTTTGCAAAGCTCCTCTTGTGGTAATGACTTCTCTTAGTGCTTGTTTGTCTAGAAAAGATTGTCTTTTTCCTTCACTTATTAAGCTTAGTCTGGTGGGATATGAAATTCCTGGCTGGAACTTCTTTTAAGAATGCTGAAAATAGGCCCCTAAACTGTCCTGGCTTCTGAGGTTTCCTGATGTGGTTTCCTTTGTATGTGACTTGCCCTTTTTCTCAAGCTGCCTTTATGAGTTTTTCATTGATTGACCTGGGACAGTCTGGTGATAATATGCCTTGGTGGTGTTCATTTTGTGTAGTATCTTGCAAATGTCTTCTGGATTTCTTGTATCTGGACACTTACATCTAGCAAGATTAGGGAAATTTCCTTAAATTATTCCCTCAAATATAGTCTCCACGTTGTCTGCTTTTTCTCCTTCTCTTGCAGGAATGCCAGTAATTCGTAAGTTTGCTCACTTTACATAATCCCATATTTCTTGAAGATTTTGTTAATTTATCAAAATTCTTTTTCATTTTTGTCTCACTGGGTTAGTTAAAAAAAATTGGTCTTTAAGTTCTGAAATTTTTCCTTCTGTTAGGTCCAGTCTATTAATAAAAATTTCAATTATATTTTGAAATTCACTGAGTGAGGTTTTCAATTTCAGAAGGTCTGACTAATATCTTTTTTTGTTTGTTTGTTGAGATGGAGTCTCACTCTGTCGCCAGCCTAGAGTGCCGTGGCATGATCTCAGCTCACTGCAACCTCTGCCTCCTGGGTTCAAGTAATACTCCTGCCTCAGCTTCCCGAGTAGCTGGGATTACAAGTGCCCAACACCACGCCCAGCTAATTTTTGTATTTTTAGTAGAGACGGGATTTCACCATGTTGGCCAGGATTGTCTCCATCTCCTGACCTCGGGATCCACCTGCATCAGCCTCCCAAAGTGCTGGGATAATAGGCATGAGCTCTAATATCTTTTTAAGATATTTATCTCTTCCTTCATTTCCTGGATTGCTTTAGAAATTTCTTTGTGTTGATTTTCAACTTTGTGTTGATCTCACTGAGCTTCTTTGCAACCCACGCTTT